>NC_000007.14:115840112-116143142 GCF_000001405.40 Homo sapiens
ACTGTAGTGACCTGATCTTCTACTGCAAGGGATTGGTAAGTAACTTGACCTATTGTGTTCAATGCTGAAAACCTAGTCCCAAGTATAGTGTATATGACACTGTTGTATGTTTAATATTTGTTGAATAAATAGAGAACAATAAGGATAGATAAGTGGAAAGTTCCCTAGACACTATATCTTCTTCAATGTAACATATTCTACAACAGAAATGCAAATTCATCTTGCTTTAAAAATATTCATATCATTTTCAAGTGGGTGTTTATTGTTTTCCCTTTTTCTTTTTATCAAGTGGATCTTTCTAATTACCATTCTTCTTTTCCTATTTTATTCACCCTACATGTCAGGAGAACCTATGCATTCTTCTTCCCACCTGGGGCTAAGGGTTTTATTTTATTTTCAGAATTATAGTTTTTACAGTAGGTTTCTTACTATCTGTCTTTTTATATTTCAATATAAGTCCATGTTAAAATTTTTAACTGAAAACAGAATTTCAAAAAGTATGAAGGGTATGAGTTTTCACTCTACATGCAAGGAACAAGTTAATCCATCACAGTTTCATAGGTGCTGGCAGAAGAACAACACACCTGAGCCAGAGATAAAGGGCCGTTTATTACAGTAATAGCAGTATCTAGAGTATCATCAGTTTCTTACTCTGGTTTTTGAAGCCCAAGTTCCCACAGGGCAGTGAAATACGTCTGGATGAAGCCTGCACATGCAGTAGGTTGTGTAACAGGAAAGGGACCTGAAGTTCAGGGAGCCCTCATCTAAGATGGCAGTAAACAAACTTGTCTGGTATTTTCCCTGGAGGGAAACACATTCTGTATTATATTGGACAGTAAACGAACCTGCCATTTTCTCCAGAGGGAAACATTCTCCAGATTTTTCAACACTGCTGTGCACACAAACATCCTTCAGAAGATGATTGGTGCTTCAGCTTGCAGGGCATGTAGAATGTGAGAGACCTATGGAGAACTGTGAAACTTTCAGTAATGTAATTATTGTAAGCAAGTCTCTCATTAAACTGTAAAATGTAAACGACTCATTCATTCATCTGTAAATAAGTATCGAAGATTTGTTGTATTCCAGGATAGAACCCTAAAGAGACACAACCCCTGACTTCATAGAGCTTATATTCTTCTATACAGATATAAATAAATAAAAAACAAATATATTAAAAATGCATTATGCTATGATAAGATATATCATCTTAGGCATGACATGAAATGATGTGTTGTAACAACATAGTATCACATCATGTAGTATGTAAAGTAAATGTGCTTATAAATCCATTTTGTTTCTAAGAGGGTCAGAGATAGTATATTTAAAGAGAAAAAATTCTTTTCACAGCAAAGAAAATTCTAAAAGGATATTTCTGTTGCTAATTATATATGGGCTACTCTTTTTTTTTTTTTTTTTTTTTTTTTTTTTTGAGGTGGAGTTTCACTCTTGTTGCCCAGGCTGGAATTCAATGGCACTCTCTTGGCTCACCACAACCTTCACCTCCTGGGTTCAAGTGATTCTCCTGCCTCAGCCTCGATAATCGCTGGGATTACAGGCATGTGCCACCACGCCCGGCTAATTTTGTATTTTTAGTAGAGACGGGGTTTCTCCATGTTTCTCAGGCTGGTCTCAATCTCCCAACCTCAGGTGATCCACCAGCCTTGGCCTCCCAAGGTGCTGGGATTACAGGTGTGAGCCACCGTGCCCTGCCATGGGATACTCTTTTTAAAAAGATTGAAAATTTTAAGTATTATTTATATTTAATTAAACGATTTCATAGTAAACTTAAAACATGTTAATGTGTTGTAAAATCAAACAACTATGTGAAAATAAATATAAAAATATTTAAAACAAATGAATAATTGACCTGCATTCCCTAGAACTTTTAACTAATGCCCAGACACTGTCTCGTGCCAGGCAGTGCATCTTCCTTTGAGAGGTTCGGTTGGTCATACCACCCACAAGCTTTTGATCATTACCTACATATGCAGTGGTCATGTCAGTAGCTAATTGCCCAAGTTAACTTTCTTCATTTTTCTTGTTAAAAAGAGATTTTTTAAAATGAGCTCAATATATCAGCCTTTTTAGCAGAATTATTAATAATACGTATACCCTCATTCATTATTTGGTGTTTCTTTTTTTCTGAGCTCTTCCTTCTCTGATAATCTGTAAAGCATCTCAAAGACTGTTAAAAATCATTTTGCTCTCACTTTACTTTGTTAACCCTTTTACCTGCAAGTACAAAAAATAGATACTGTATAGTCTATTCTTTCTTTATTCTGGCCTTAAGTTGACCAAATTTGCCAAATTTATTCACTTGAATTTTAAAGCTTAAAATACTATTTTTAGCGTAAGAAGAATAGAATAAGGCTTTCTTTTTTTCACTTTTTTTTTTTTTTTTTGAGACAGAGTCTCACTTTGTTACCCAGGCTAGAGTACAGTGGCAAAATCATGGCTCACTGCAGCCTCAAACTCCCAGGTCAAAGCGATCCTCCCACCTCAGCCTCCCAAATAGCTAGGAATACAGGCATGCACCATCATTTCCAGCTGGATAAGACTTTTTAAACATGTATATATGAAAAAGTGAAATAAAATACACAAAGCATAAGAATCAATAGCACAACAAAAACACACTCAAAATATCTCATGTATGCCATAAATATATACACCTACTATGTATCCATGAAAATTAAAAATTAAAATAATGCAGTAGTTTAAGTGGAAATCTTACTGTAATTTCCTAGAAGCCAATGTCAAAAAGAAAACATAATACTTAAAAAAAAAAAACTTTCATTATATTCCCCAAGCAAGCATTTCCTCCCTGGTGCTAAAGTTTAAAAGAAATTTCCTGTTTCAACTATCATATAGAAACATTGAATAAAACAATGTGATTTTTTACCACATTACTTAACCTTCCTGACTCATGTTCTTCATTTGCAAAATAGGTTAAGTATTGTATATCTTCCAATGTTGGTAAGATAATAAATTACAAAATTTAGCTTTCATTCAACAAATATTATCTAAGTTTCTTAGAATTTCAGGCATAGTTCTAGATGCTGAAGATAAGCAGTGAACCAGCAAGTGTCTGCCTCAGGAGTTTGTGTTTTACAAGGAAAGGGAGAAAATAAACACATGAAAAGGCTATAGCACAGCAGAAAACAGTTAGTGTTTTGAAGAAAAACAGTAGAGGCTGAGGGGAAGGTAAAGGGGTTTGTGTGGTTTTTTTTGTTTTTGTTTTTGTTTTTTTTTTTAGATGGAGTCTCCCTCTGTTGCCTGTTGCCCAGGCTGGAGTGCAGTGGCGCCATCTCAGCTCACTGCAAGCTCCACCTCCCGGGTTCACGCCATTCTCCTGCCTCAGCCTCCCGAGTAGCTGGGACTACAGGAACCCGCCACCACGCCCGGCTAATTTTTTTGTATTTTTAGTAGAGACAGGGTTTCACCGTGTTAGCCAGGATGGTCTCGATCTCCTGATCTTGTGATCCGCCCGCCTCGGCCTCCCAAAGTGCTGGGATTACAGGCAACAGACACCGCGCCGGGCCAGGAGTATGTGTTTTAAATAATCTGCAAAAAATATGCTCAGGCTAATTTTTTTTTTTTTTTTAATTTTTAGATGGAGTTTCGTTCTTGTTGCCCAGGCTGGAGTGCAATGGAACGATCTCGGCTCTCTGCAAGCACCGCCTCCCGGGTTCAAGCGATTCTCCTGCCGCAGCCTCCCCAGTAGCTGGGATTACAAGCATGTGCCCAGCTAATTTTCTATTTTTAGTAGAGACAGGGTCTCTCCATGTTGGTCAGGCTGGTCTCCAACTCCCGACCTCAGATGATCCGCCCGCCTCGGCCTCCCAAAGTGCTGGGATTAGAGGCATGACCCACCACGCCCGACTAAAATGTTTATTATAGTGAAATTTGATTAGAGACGTGAATGATCTAAGGGAGAAAACCACAGAAAAATTTTGACAAGAAGGGTTTTTGCAAGATGGCAAGAACAGTGTCCCTAGAGGAGGAATAAGCACACATTTGGGCAATGCTGAGAATGCTAGTCGGCCAAAGAATAAATGAAGAGAGGAACGGGCTGGGAGAATAGGAGAAGAGGTCCAAGACGCAGGCAGGGGTAAATCTGGGAGAGCTTTTTATCTATGGCAAGGAGTTTGGACTTTATTCTGAATGTAATTGGAAACCACTGGGAGGCTTTGATCTATGATATGACTTCATGTCTTAAAAAAAAAAAGTCACTAGGACACTTCTGTTGTGTACTGGCTATTGATCTTGCAGCATAACAGGAATATAACCCTGGATGTCAGTAAGTTAGCTTTCAGGATACTTCAGGAGGCTTAGCCTAGGGAGGTTGCTTAAGGTTGTGAGAAGGGGTCGAGTTTATACTGTGCTTTGAGCATCAATATTAGGATCTGATGTTGATGGAGCAGATGGGATGTATCACTAAGAAAAATAAGGATGACTCCATGGAGAAGCAGGTTTTGGAGGGAAGTCTATCGTTCTGGTTCGGACATTTGAAGTTAGGCATACCCATTATTCATCCAAGTGGAGATGGCTTATAGATGGTTGAACATACCAGTCTGGGGCTCAGGGAACAGTCAGGGCTGTGGGTATCACTGAAAGCCATAGGTTTATGTAATATTCGCTAGTGAGTGAATATACATAAAGAGAAGAGGGCCAAGGATTTAGCACTGGGACATTCCAACATTTAAAGGACAGAAAGAATATGAGAAGTCTGGAAAAGTGACTGAAAACAAGCATTCAATATAATGCAAGGAAAACCAGGGGAATGGAATATCCTAGAAGATGCATGGAAAAACTTGTTTCAGAAGTAGAAAGACAACCTTTAATGCCCAATGCTGCTGAGATCAAGTAAGTAAAGGCTAAGAATAGTCTTTGGATTTGGCAGGATGGAGACCTTTGGTGACCTTGGTATAGTGAGTTTGAAAGCCTGGATGATGTCAGTTTAGGAGAATGTGGGTGGTGAGGAAATGGAGATATGAAATACACACAACTCTTATGTCATTTTCTGGAAAGATTTTACACTTCGACTCCCATACAGTTTTGAACCTAACTCTTTTCCAGACCTCCTTGATCTTGAACTTCCAATCTTTCTCCTTCCAGGTCCCTGAACAACCAGCCAAGACAGTAACTACAGCCTGTGGACATTTCATCCAGGCCACTTCATTTTTCCTACAAAGTAGACAACCAGGTGCATCATGCCTAAAGTTCTGCCCACTGGGAAGAATACTCTTCACTACTGTCTTTCAAGGTCATCCCTGAGTTAAGCAGCAGAGCATCTTCATTTCATCTGTGCATATATTAAGCACTAGCTTTTTCCTCCTCTGCTAGCTGGCCATACAGGACTCTGTACAGCCATAGGTATGAGCAACAGGTATGAATAAGAGACACCAGTACAATGGTGGTGATGACAGGAGTCTGCTCTTTGACCCTGCTCTGGCCTGATCCCAGCTGTACAACTTCTCCCTTACAATGTATTGCTGGGCCCACTGAACCTTATTTTTGGGGAAGCCTCACAGAGCCCAGCTCATGATAGTTAGCTCTGACTGCATAATCAATTCATGCCGAGTGGTCACATGTTCATTCTCTTCTAGAGCCCAGGAGCATGTCAGCTCCTATTTTTTTTTAAGAGGTATATAATTTTTATGCTAAAGACATCATGGTTTTGCTTCAGAAACTAGGGGCTCCATATTATCATCATTCTCCTGGGGATTGCCATAAATTCCATGTGGTCTCATTTTTAAACTACAGATACATCTAAAACCAGAGTCTATAATCCCCATCTCAGATGCTGCTTCCTGAAGAGCCCAACTGCAGCAGGCCTCTAATGTCTTTCATCTTTTAAGTTTTAAAGCAATAGATATGCTGTAATGAAACCATTATTCCCCTTACATAATAAAGCCTAGACGAAAACTTGAAATCATTTATTCAATAAAATATAAAATTAAAATAATGCAGCCTCATTATACTAGTACTAACTTGCTGTTTTTTTGTTTGATTTTTATTTTATTTTTTTAAATCAGGAAGATTACACCACTGAGGCTTCATTGATATGTAGTACATTAAGAGTGAGAGTAGATAGGTTATTGTGACAAATGACAATGGTAAATACTAACAAATTGTTACAGTTTACTCAGTTGAGGGCCACACAGTCAGTTTTAAGATATTTTGTCACATTAATTGCTGATAAATAACCCCAAATATGCTATCATGTAGATTTGGGATTGAATTTACCTTTTCATTTTTAAACAAAATAATCTCAAAGCTAGAATCTGTTTATCTGGATAATCTACAACAAAATCTAGAAGCTAGATCCATAACTTTGACATATTTAATGTGTTTTCTAGATGAAAAGCTATTGGTCTTTAATTATCTCTCAAGCCAACTTATTTAATATAACACTATTTTGCCAAAAAGTTCATGTGACACAACAGAAAAAAAAACCCATTGAAAGCTTAATCATATTTTCTTTAGAACATATTATAACATATTATAATTCTAAGGTACAGTTTTAAAGGAAATTTCTAAAAGAAAGAATGTTACATGTGCTTTAACCTATAGAACTGATCCTGTGCAGTCTCTTAGTTCAAGAAAAGGAAAAAAAAATTACTTCCGATTAATCAGTAGATCACTGACAGTAAAGCTCTAACCTATAGAACTGACCCTGTGGAGTCCCTTAGTTCAAGAAAAAAAATACTTCCAGTTAATCAGTAGATCACTGACAGTAAAGTTGCTAATGATACCTTGAGCTTTTAAATTGTATTACTTTATATGCTAGACCAACCAGTGATTTTCAAAATGTGCTGTACAAGGGAGGTGAAAATGCATTGGTCAGGGCCAAATTCAGCCCCAGCCTTATTTCAATCTTTATGAACAAAGCAACTCTGCTTTTGTCTGTTTCACATTGTAAGCTCCTGAAAAGGAGTAGCTTCGGAAGATGATCTCGGGGAGATTGCAGTCCTAAGCACATGGCACTGTCCATACAGCTGACTTGATCTGTGCTGAAACTGTAAATTTCTACAAGCCTATTAAGGTCAAACCCTGTGTTAAAAATTTGGGTGTTATAATCAATATCTCTGTGCGAGTTGACTTGTTGGTTATGTTGATGAGAGGTTTTTGGTGAGGAAAAAGAAGAGACATCCAAAAGGTGGATTTTGAGGCCAGGGGAGGTGGCTCATGCCCGTAATCCCAACACTCTGGGAGGCCAAGGCAGGAAGATAATTTGAAGTCAGGAGTTTGAGACCAGCCATGGTCAACATAGTGAAACCCCATCTCTACAGAAAATACAAAAATTAGCTGGACCTGGTGGCACACGCCTGTAATCCCAGATTCTTGGGAGGCAGAGGTAGGAGAACTGCATGAACTCAAGAGGCAGAGGTGCAGTGAGCCAAGATCCTGCCACTGCATTCCAGCCTGGATGACAGAGCAAGACTCCATCTCAAAAATAAATAAATAAATTTTAAAAAGGTAGATTTTTGCATGCAAAAAAGACTATTCAGAACTTTATTGGGGAACTAAAAGCTGTTATTCTGTTAAATGATATACATTAAAAACTATAGTTTTCCCCTAGTTCTTAAATTCAGCTTGCCAATCTAAATATTGTTGTCACTGTGCAGATTTTAATAATTTTTTTTAATGAATAATGTTTGGTCTCATTTACACATATATTTTCTCAGACATTTAAATGGCATTTATAAATGTATACATTCTTTTTTATTTTAAAACATTTTAACTAAATTAACCAGATCTTTCCGAGTACTAAAACAATTTTGTTAATCTAAAAATTAAGCGTAAAAATACAATGAGATTTACCTTTTCTTAAATGTTCTATTTCTGAAAAGGAACACATTAAAATTTCAACTTAAAATCTTTTCTAAATTGCTCAATTACATTTGAAATTGGAGTTGTAGTCTTTGCATTAAAAGCCAAAATTACCTTACATATCCACATAAATAAAATGTCAACCATACACAAATTCGTTCCTAACAAAATATTTATACTATTAAAAAAAAATTTAGAGGAAGTGATGTTGCTACCATGTTTGGAGTGGCTGACAACCCAAGCCCAGGTCCTGGTTGACAACCAGCATCAACAAACAAACATGAGTGGCAAGTCTCCAGAGAATTTCAACTCCCAGTCTTTGAGCCATTGTAATTATGTTGAGTAGAACAAAAAAGGATTATTCCCCCTGAGCCATGTCCAAATTGTAATTTGTGATCAAAATCCATGTTGTCTTTATGTTACGCCACCAAATTTTGGGGAGGATTGTTAAGTAGCAGTACGTAATTAACACAGCTGCTCAGAAACCTCCTTTAGAAATGTGGTGCCCATTTCTCCAGCTAATGGTAGTGTGAACAGCTGATTGGTAGGTTGTCAGTCAAGTCACTCTCTGGACTCCCTTTAGTTAAGGAGATTTGTTTCAAAATTCTCTGGATAACTTTCCTTCCCAGAATCAGCCCATATCAAATGACTGGTTGATGGAGACTAACAACTCCTTGTTCTAAACCTTATCAAGGTGGAAGAACAGTGAATGGCCACCTCAGCACTTGAGCTCCCTGTGGATCTTATGAGACCTTTATCTGGATGTATTCACATCAGCTCTCCTTTTTGGGGAGAGCCCTTTCCAAAAAAGCTCCTGCACACAAATCTCCATCTCAGACTGTTTCCTTAGAATATAACCTAAGACACTTTTCTATATTTATATTAAAATCTTCCTAAGGTTAAAATATGCACTCTCACTAATGTAGGCAATTGCCTAAGCTTTTGAATGGGATGCTGACTGTATTCTCATTGGCCATCCTGATATGACATCCTAAATTCGATTTCTTTTTTCTGTGTGAATAATTTCATTACTCAAAGGAGATAATCATGTAGGCCAAATCCTTGGATTCAGTACTAATAGCAGTCAGCAAAACATATGCAGCTCCATCATTTAGGATCCAATAGGAGGCAATAACCATAGTAGTTATTTGAATTTAATGAAGAGAATTGTTAATTAGTAGAAGATGGATAAGAGAGGTAAAAGAGGACTTTAAAAACTCCAGAAGTAGCAAGTACAAAAAAGCAACTACTACCTCTAAGCTGAGGGGGTATGGACAATAACAAAACAAGCAAAAACAAATGGACAAAATTAATGACTAGGGATTCTTGCTGCCAAAGTTGAGAGGCAGACTTCTTCCAATAGGAGAAACATGTAGACTTCTGGTTGTGAAGAAATTCCCAGAGGCTGTGAATGGGACGTAGTCTGTAGGAGTGCCCACAGTTGCTGGAGGGTGTGGCCAGGAAGAGCTAGAATTTCAGAATTGGTTGTTGGCAAGATCGTGACATGAAAGCACAGCTAGTTTGCTTCTGTGGGAGCTCCTGAAATTTTGCACTGAATAATAATAATGGAAGACCAGAACCCCAAAGAGAGGTATCTTCCTTTATTACAGCCTTGCCAGATCTTTCCAGTGCCCTCTATTGATAATGCCTAGCATTTTGCAACTTGGCAAAGTAAATGTTACCTGGGTTGTATCATTACCATGAAGCATGGGAAGAAATAGATTTGGAGCTGAAAGAAAATAATATAGTATTGGAACACCTAGCTAATCACTTGATTGGATTTTGCATTTCTTTTGCTCTTTATAAACCTGCCTTACTAAATGCTTAAAGACCTTTGAACTTGACAGAATTCTGAACAACTTCATTCTTGAACCATACATTTTTAACTGATATTTAAAATGCTATCTGATTGAATTTTGTTTACCTCATATGAATTTTTAACTTGCTTTTGCATCTTTTGAGATCAATTTATAGTCATGATGTATTGTATAAATTTGCTTTTGTTAGCTCAAACAAAACAATTTATTTCAAGGAAGTGTGTGAGAATAATTAAGACAGGAATAGGAATCTTAGCCATGTAATCAGTCTTCATAAGAACACAGGGAAAAGAGTCATAGTTGACTCTTTATATTTTGGTTGTCATTAATTTTCTCTGAAATCGGAATGCACTCAGGTAGTGGAAGTATCCAAAGTTGAACCAGTGACTGCATTACCTTGTTGCTCACCCCCCCGACAGTGGTAATTAATGATTTTTTCTCATGTGGTCTCTCAGTTGATCTGTATGTTTTTCTTCTGCACCTGCCAACTAAAAACATTACTTTTACTGTGTGATGATGTTTTTCTACTTCACAGCATATACTAATTTAGAATTTATCCTTAATTATGCCATTTTCTCCCTTCTAGCAATTACATGTTGCCTTTTCTCTATGGTCTTTTAGCTTATGTTTCTGCTACCAACATGTTGATATTTTCTCCATATCTCTAGTTCAAATTACAAAGAAGTAGACTTTTATTGATTTTGGCCAATTAATGATCTTTCTTCTTGGGAATAACTCAATTCCAAACCACCTCATAAGTTCCTAGCTGTTTCATGGATTGACTCTCATTGAGTTGATGGTTAACTCCTGATCAAATCAGTAACCATCAGTAGTGTAAGTTCATGTGGCAGACAATATGATCACCAACTTTAGGTTAGAATCCAAATAAAATTACTTCTCTCAGCAAATTACTCACCACATGAAAGGGATATATTGGACTGGTAGAACAGACCAGAAACTTTGAAAGGTCCTCCATAGTACACAACTCAATCTAAAAATACCAATGAAAGAGAGTTCCCCAAAGAATTTCTCATCGCTGGTTCCCGCCAGTGGCTTTTATAACTTTGTATCAGCACCAACAGTGACTTCAGTTGACTGTGCTGATGAACAATGATGGGATCTCCCATGGGTTTCTCTTTTTGACAGTTCCCTATGTCCCTTACCAACAGCTTGCTAGCCTCTTGGAGAATGAAGAGTTCACAATTGCCCTGTCAGCATAACATACAACTAAGCCATAGCTGAGGCAAAGCTTTTTTAGAGTTTTTATAGTCACCTCAAATTTGCAGTTGTTGTGACCATTTCACTGAGCCCTCCTTGACTCAGAGTCAGCTCAACTGCTACAATGTTCAATATTCCCTCTTGGGGGTGGGGGCAGGGGTGGCAGGAAGGAGCTCGCTCTACCCCCTCATGCATTATAAAGATGAAAACATGTTCATTTAATTTAAATCTTACCACTGCGAATTTGGACTTTGCTTTAATTCTCTTCTACCTTTGTAAAAACTATTTATTAAAAAAAGGCAAATTCGGCATAGATGCTTAGAGTTTGAAGGAATCCTTTAGATTATATAGTCAGTACCCCTAATTTTAGAGATGAAGAGAAAAAGCTCCTCCTCAAGTACCCCCTAGAAAATATTCAAGTGGTTACTCCCTTTCCATCTGTCAATAGATGAGACTAGAACTCAGGCTCTTGACTCTTAAGCCCAGTGCTCTTTCTACTATACCATGCTGCCCCCTTGTGTTAATCAGATTTCTTAAGAATTAGTGATTTCATTCACAAGAACAAATTTTATCTGATTGAAAGAGCTATTTGCAAAACATGAATGCATAAGCTTATATAAAAGGATCAGAAGATCCGACATAAACCTCCATTTCACAGTATTTTACCATTTATTTGTATTACTATGCATACTTAAAAACATATTTGTCTTTTCTTCTAATATTAAATTATGTCTTCTTCTAAGATAAAATTAAGGCCCTAAAAGGTAAAGATCGAACACAAAGTTGTGTATTGCAGTGGGAATGAAGGGACAGTCTTACTTTTAAAAAATCACCATCTTTAATTGATCCTCAACCTGTCTTAATATATCAATGATTCTTTTTACTGTAGTTATAGATAGGGTTAATTGGTGTCCTGAGGCATCATGGAGGTCCCTGAGAAAAGTCACAGAATAAAGGGAATAGAAGAACCACCTTTTTAATAGTAAGCATTAAACATTGTGAAAAGTAATAGAAAAAATAACCCAACTTAGAGCATAATAGTCAATTTTACCATATATTTTCACTCAACCCCCTCCCAACAGAAAGTATATTTATAAATAGAAGAACAAAACCAATAAAATATAAGTAAAAAATTAAAAAAACTCTGACTCGATCTGTTATAAGAAGAATTTAAAAGTGTAGAACCGATGTATCGGGGGAAGACAGAAACAGAAGAAAAAATAGGGTAACTAATAAATGAGAGGAAGCAAAGAATTAATTATTGCACTAAGAAGGCTGATATATTGAGCTCATTTTAAAATGTCTTTAAGAAAGAATGAAGAAGAAAAATTTAAATAAGGAGGAACTAATAAAGACAATGAAAATTGCTTATAAAAATGTTAAGGAAAATGTGGAGGACATTTTAAAATAGACTAGTGATTCAGAGCATCTTAAGTAGGATTGTGGAGGCCCTTTTAAAAAAATCTGTGACCAAGACATAGTCAAACATGTAAGCATTGACTTGTATTTTATGTTCTTCATTAACTTTGAATTTTCACAAACATATAAATTACACCTTAAAATATGTATCATTCAAGAAGGATTTCACAGGAGGTGCAGAATCAGTACATACATCTCTATTGCTCTCCTTTTCCTCTTACCTCTGAGTTTCTTTCTGATCATCTTTGAAGAGATTGCTAGCATAAAATGGCATTTGACTAGCATTCCCCAATACAGCCCATTCCAGCCCTATACCCAAATGCCCAGGAAGAACAGAAAACAACAAAAGTTCATAACATTGAAAAGTAACATTGAATAACAAATCACCATTGGAAATGTTGAGAAACACCCATCTATACTCTGTAGTATATTAACCTTAGGAAATGGAGTCCATTAATTTAAACAGCAGGAAGATGTTTTGCAATTCTCTGTTGTCTAAGCCTTGAATCATGAGCTGTACAAACCCCCAAACTGTCCATCCACTTAATTCTTCACGAATGAAGGTGGCAACATCACTGTTTTCTGCCCTTCCTTCATTCTTATTTAATATTCATTCAGAAATAACTAGTTATAGGAGACCACAGAGCAAGAATGGATGAGGAAGCCAGAGAAGAACTGGAGTTAAGTTACGTTTAGCTTGCCATTAGCAAAGTATTATGGATGTTTTTCAAAACTGAAAATATCTTAATATACTACATTCTAGGGGTTTTTTCTATTCACCTAAACCACTGTTAATCACACAACAACTAGGAAATGGAAGTAGGACATTCTACATCAATACATTAGTGCTACATAGCATAAATAACTTTCCAAAAACTGAGGGATTAGGATGAGAGCTTTGAACTGGAACCTTTATTAAAGAAAAAAATATGATTATTACTTAAGAGAATAGTGACAACAAGACAACAATAGGAAACTAAGAATGCATGACCAGAATTTAAAAAATAATCATGTAAAAATTTAAAATTAGTTGATGAGAAGCACGGTCTTGAAAAATTTGGCCAAAATGCAGAAAAGAAGTTCAGGACTTGAAGAGATACTAGAGAAGATGGCTGATGCAACGAACAAACTCAGTACCATTTCTAGAAATTTTATGTAACCCCAAGGAAGAAAGCAGAGCAACTGAAACAACGCCAATTAGAAAGCCCATGTCTGCAGATTAAAAATCTGTCTTCCAGGTAAATTCCATGTAGCTGATAGGATGAGACAGCTCACTAAATGTCCATTTCAACTCCCTTCTCCCTGCCTTCCTTTGCTCTTGATGCTATTAAGAGAAACGCTTGGCTTTTCACACCCTCTGGAATTTGGAAATGGTCATGAGATTTAATTCTAGCTGTAAAGGTACAAAATGAAATCTATGGGAGAGCTTCTGTTACTAAATACAAAGGCAAAGACAAAGTCTCAATTATTATTACATCCCTAGTAGTAGTAGAATGCCTGTTTTATTAATTCAAGTACACCATTCTCTGGAGTTATTTATAAACTGTTGTTTATCTAGGAAATTCTGTAGTTTATAGCTCTAAATTATTTTATGTAGTAGTATTAAAATGTAAACTTGGCAAGTAAATTTAACTAGTGCGTTATATTATACCATTGGAGCTTCCAAGTGACTGGGAGGTAAGTTAAAATGTTTAAATAAGATACAAACAGTTACTGTTGAACAGATGAACTGTATCTTTGGATTTAAGGAATGTTTGCAAAATTAATTATGGCATAATCAAGCAGAATTACAGTTTTATCTGTACACTGGCAGAAATAATTTGTTTTTAGTTATCTCTGTGAAGAAAAACCTAAACAATAAAACATCACCACTCTCAAGATATTTTTGAAAGAGAAAATGAAAGCCATTCTTTGTCAAAGTTCGGAGTTAAGTTCTTAATTGAATTAATCAATACCTTTAAGTGAAAATATAAATTAAATATGGTAGCCGGAAAAGAGGTAAAGAGTTAGAATGCTGAAACGTTTTATTGTAACATTTTGGCATTTATCATTGAATTTATTAGTGTGCCTGTATATTTATTAGTGTGCCTGTATGTGTATATGTGTGCACATGAGTGTACATACATAGAAGTGTGTTAGATATCGAGTGCAGAAGAGGGAAGGATGAAGTAGGAAAACATGGGCTAGGTGTGGTAATCCCAGCCCTTTGGGAGTTCGAAGCAGGTGGATGCTTGAGCTTATGAGGTTGAGACCAGCCTGGACAGCCTGGTGAAAAATCTGTCTCTGTAAAAAATATAATTAGCCAAGCATGGTGGCTCATACCTGTAGTTCTAGCTACTTCAGAGGCTGAAGTGGGACGATTGCTTGAGCCCGGGAGGTGAAGGTTGCAGTGAGCTGAGATCATGCCACTGCACTCCAGTCTGGGCAACAGAGGGAGACATTATCTTATGTTTTAGTCAGAGTGTTTCTTGGGTCATATTTCTAGATGTTAGTCACTTGTTAATAAGTTCTTGACTGAATTAATCAGTACTTTCTCATTCAAGTCATAAGGGCAAGGACAAATTATGAGAATCTGTCTCATAATACAGATGTGTCAGAAAATCCAGTGGGTATTTATTGTGACTCAGGATATTTTTATTTTCTGAGGACAGAACCATTATTCTTCTGGGAAACACTTGGCCCATCTTTGAATCCAATCTTGTGTTTTGAATGGGAGAGGACATGTTCTTATAGGCCTCATACCCCAAAGCAGAGATGAACACCTGATGTACAGGGCCAGTCAGAGCCCTCCATAGGTAATACTACCCAGTATTTTCTAGATATATAAGAAATATAACTCTAGAGAAGCTCATTACCATCTTTCCAAACACCAGAAAGTGAGTTTGCACCAAAAACAAATATATAAGGCCAAATACAGAGAATGATGGACTCGTTGTCCTGGACATTTGCCCTCCACTCACTTTGGTTTGGTTACATGAGATAGCCTACTACCATTCTAATAAATTTCTTGTTGCATTCAGGCTTATTCAAAAGGGTTTTTCATGCTTGCAAATGAGAGCTCTTGAGAATACAGTGTAATCATAGAATGCATGTTATCAATAGACCAATTCCAGTGAATCAATATAGTGGTAAGTGTTTAATCAGTGTGGTCAATTTAGAAAGGAATAACAGATAATGTAAACTGTGTAATCAGAGAGAGGAAAAAAATCACCTGGTACACTTCTTAATTTAATGAAAAGAAAGCTAGGATGAGATTCTTTAGGAACAGTATTTCTCAATATGTAGCCATCAGAAACCTGCACCATAATCACTTAGAATGATGGCTAAAGGGAACACTCCTGGGCTGCCATTCAGACCTAGGACATCAGAATCTCAAGGGGCAGGGGACTAGGAGAGGTGCATCTTTTAACAATACCCTAGGCCAGGGGTGTCCGATGTTTTGGCTTCCCTGGGTGTATTAGTCCATTTTCATACTGCTATGAAGAATACCCAAGACTGGGTAATTTATAAAGAAAATAAGGTTTAATGGACTTATAGTTCTACATGGCTGGAAGGCCTCACAATCATGGAGGAGGATGAAGGAGGAGCAAAGCCATGTCTTACATGGTGGCAGGCAAGAGATCATGTGCAGGGGAACTGTGCTTTATAAAACTATCAGATCTCATGACACTTATTCACTATCAAGAGAACAGCATAGGAAAAACCCATACCTATGATTCAATTACCTCCCACTGGGTTCATCCCATGACATGTGGGTATTATGTGGGTATTATGGGAGCTACAATTCAAGATGATATTTGGGTGGGGACACAGCCAAACCATATCACTGGGCCATGTTGGAAGACGAATTGTCTTGAGCCACACAGAAAATACACCAACACTAACGATAGCTGATGAGCTTTAAAAAGAAAAAAACTCTCAAAAAAAATCTAATAATGTTTTAGGAAAGTTTACGAATTTGTGTTGGCCTGCATTCAAAGCCATCCTAGGCTGCATGAAGCCCACAGACCACAGATTGGACAAGCTTGCCTTAGATAATTCTAACATGGGTTAAAAGTTGAGAACCACTGCCTTAGAGGAATGACCGTTTTTATTAGGATGCTGATAAAAATGCAGCTTTGAGAGGCAATACATGTACATTAAGGATCCAATTGTGTAGAGTGCAGAAAAACTATGTAAGAGAAAAATCCAGAGAGTGGTACAATGTCAACAAATAGAGAAAGTGCAAGTATAAGTACAGGGTCTGCTATGGTTTGAATGTTTGTGTCCTTTCAAAATTTATGCTGCAACTTAATCTTCAATGCTATACTACTAAGAGGTGTGGATTTGGGGAGATGATCAGGTCATGAGGACACTTTCATGAATGGATTAGTGCTCTTAAAAAGGGCTGGAGGGGCCAGGCACAGTGGCTCACGCCTGTAATCCCAGCACTTTGGAAGCCCGAGGCAGGAAGATCACCTGAGGTCAGGAGTTCGAGGCCAGCCTGGCCAATATGGTGAAACCCGTCTCTACTAAAAATATAAAAATTCCCCTGTCATGGTGGCACATGCCTATAATCCCAGCTGCTTAGGAGAATGAGGCAGGAGAATTGTCTGAACCTGAGAACCAGAGGTTGCAGTGAGCCAAGAGTGTACCACTGCACTCCAGCCTGGACAACAGAGTGAGACTCCATCTCAAAAAAAAAAAAAAAAAAGGGCAGGAGGGAACTAGTAGGTGCCATTTTGCCTTTCCATCCCTTCAACCATCTGAATTTGCTATCAAACATTTCAAGGCATCACTTGGAAACAGAGCCCAGGCATCGAACCCACCGGCACCTTGATCTTGGACTTCTAGCCTCCAGGACTGTGAGAAATAAATTTCAATTGTTTATAAATTACCCAGTCTTGGGTATTTTATTATAGCAGCACAAACAAGACTAAGACAGGGCCTTAGAACTGCACATCAATAAAAAAGTACAGAAGGTTTTTTTATTTTGTTTTGTTTTTGTTTTTCAAATGGAGGAGTCTTGCTCTGTGGCCCAGGCTGGAGTACAGTGGTGCAATCTTGGCTCACTGCAACCTCCACCTCCTGGGTTTAAGCGATTCTCTTGCCTCAGTCTCCCAAGTAGCTGGAATTACAGGCACACACCATCACTCCCAGCTAATTTTTGTATTTTTAGTAGAGACAGGGTCTTGCCATGTTTACCAGGCTGGTCTTGAACTCCTGACCTCAGGTGATCCACCCACCTTGCCTCCCAAAGTGCTGGGATTAGAAGCATGAGCCACCATGCCTGGCCAGGTGTTTTTTTTTTAAGGGGAATATATTGACTTGGTTTTCTTACGTATGATAGCAAAGGTTATTTCTGCATATACTTGTTGCTGACATATGAATGTTTTATGTCATTGCTAATAGCTAATATATGTATGAAAAATGAAAAATCCATTTTAATCAGTGAATTAGTGCCTATTGTAAAATAACCACCCCAAAATATCTGTTCAACTTCCCCTCAACTGTATCAAATAAATTTTCATTAAAATAATGATTTTGGCTTGCATTGGGACTACCCATCTGATTCAACCAAATTTTCTTACCTCAAAAACAGACTCTTAATTATGGCTTCTACTAAATTGAAGGTCTCAAATCAGACGCCTAAATCTGAGCAATTTTCAGAGGAAAACTATTTGTTCCAGGTAAATGTCAAACAAACTAGATAAAATATCAAATGAAGAGCCATCATAAATATGATCATTTGCTCAATGAAGTTCAATTTTCTATCTAGCCAGCAAACATGTTTTTTTTTTTTTTTTTAATTACAAGAAATGCAGGATTGAATGCCTCTGAGAAGAACCGCCACAATCTAACCATCTTGTCAATTCCATTCCCTGGAACCTCAGGAGTTGAGTCTTCCTACCAGTTTCACGGAGTCCACATCAGCCTTCTTTTTCTATTCCTCGATCTTCCATTTCAGACAGTGTTGGTAATTGGTTTTTAATCAGTTCATTTACCTGAATGATTTATACTGCCTCAGGTAGGCACAATTTAATGACACCCATTATAGTGCTTTAGATTATTTCACAAATAGATATGCTGTTGTCCTTCAAGATTGAAGATCCATGCATATGAGTGTTATCATTCATACTTCTCTGATGTAAAGTCCAGTGCATGACTGACAATGATAAGAAATGATAGTTTACCACGTGTGAACTATGTAGCAGGCATTTTGCTAAGTGCTTTATACGCATTATCTTATTTAACAGACATTTTCATAGAACAGAAGTAAACAGAATCAATCACTGTCCATGGAGTTGCATTTATTTTGTATAGAGGCTATTTACAATTGTTTCTTCTCTATTTCTCAGATGACCAATTCTTTGCTCAAAATTGTCAGTTCACTTTGAGCATTAATAACAAACTGAGAAAATCACTAAACCAACTAGGTAAGAAATCTAGGTTCATTCTTGATTCTGGCAATAACTGTGAGAACTTAATTCAGTGACTTAACCTTTGAGTTTAGACCAGCTCTCCTGAAAGGACTCTTGTAGTTCTGACATAATGTGGCTCACTCCCTCCAAATTCCTGTTCTCATTTTGATTGATTAGCTACTTGGGGTGCTGTCAAATCTTCCGTAGTAAAATCTACGCTTGTTTTTCAATGTTCCATTAAAATATAATTTCTGCCTAAACTGTTTAAAAAACATTCTACTCATCATTCAGTTACTTTAAAGTTATGCACTGTTACACAAATGACTTACCCAAGTAAGGACATTCTCTCAGGAACTACACTGGTTTCACAACTAAAAAAACAGCAAGTGAATAAATAGAGTTATAAGCAAACTTAGAAAGTGTTCTAATAATAAAAAGATGATGTTTTTTACTTCAACATGTCCTTTCTTCTATGTAAGTTCCTATGAACACAATAAAATATTTTTAAATGTTTCTTATAATTAATTTGCATAAATGCACCATCACATATGTGAATTAAGAGGTATAATTGGTACTTAGGAACAGATTCTGGTATTGTTTATGTGAAATAAAAAATTCAAAATGTCTTTGCTGATTAACTGTGGGTAAATTTAAAGAGGCACATATTAGTATTGGGGCTTCATCCAATTATAAAGCTTTGTGTGGAAATTGTACAACAAATATTTGGGGATGACATAAGCTGTCTTGTTTTACCGACACATAATCTTAAGGAAACATAAATATCTTTACAATATTTTTCTTACTTTGATTAAAATATTTTTAGTATTTACTTTGTACTTAAGGTAATTGGCAGACTTTTGTCAAATATCTGCTTCCCAATGTATACAATTTCTGAGGATAGTGTTGCATTTTTCTAGTTGTTCTGCAGACTGTCTTAAGTTTAGGCAAGCAGATCTAAGATTTTACATAAATACTATAGTATAATAATTCTAACTCACTGTCAGCATATTTAGATATGATCTTATCTGTACTCCTGCATTACGTTTGCATGTTTCAATTAAGTTCACCTCACTCATATATAAATATGTAACTGGAAGAAAAATAGAGTGGAGTGGGAGAGCTTAACTCAGAATTGTATCTTCCCTAAGAGATAGAAAAGTATTTATTTCAAAGCATCCCTTGAGCATTTTTGTACCCAGAGGATGAGCATGCAGGGGCTGAAAGTCTTGTTGACTGGGAAGGACTTAGCCGTAGTACACCTTTTATGTACCTGAAGACACCGGTATATGTTTCTCCTTTCTCCTTCTTAATCTAGCACTGTACTGTCCAATACAGTAGCCAATAACCACTTGTGACTACTGAACACTTGAAATAAGCCTAGCCTGAATTGAGATGTTCTATAAGTGTGAAATACATACCAGATTTTGAAAACCAGATATATTAAAAATGTAGTGCAAATTATACTATTTTTATATTAATTATATGTTGAAATAATAAATTTTACATGTATTGGATTAAATGAAATATATTTTAAAGTAATAATTCTTTTTACTCTTTTAAATGTGCCTGCTCAAAAAGTTACAATTACATATGTGGCTCAAATGATTTTTTATTATTATTATTATTATTATTGACAATACTGATACAGATTCAGACCACATTGTCTTTGACAATTATTTTTGTCAGTGGGTTATGGGTATGATGCAATTATTTCATGCCAAATGATGAAGAATAACACAGAGCTTTGAGTTCACCCAAACCCATTGTGATCAAGGCTTTCCTGGACTGTCCTACTGAACTCCCCAGCTCCTGCATCCTATCTTACCATCCTCCCTTCCCCACCCTCTATCACCATAGTATCTTTCTAAATTAAGTAACTTAAACTTTGGGAAAATGCACTACACAACACATCTAACACTATGTGCCAGGCACAGTTCTCAGCCCTTTATAACTATCAGTTCAACTAACTTTTAGAACAATTCTATGAAGTGGTTTCCATTATAAACCCCATTTTACAGATGAGAAAACTGAGGTACAGACAAGCTAATAAATTTGCCCAAGGCCACAGACCTAGTTAAAAGCAAAATTACGGCAGTCTGGCCTCTGGGTATGAACACATTTTTTTTTTCTTTACAATTCAAATGAAACTGGGTCTTTGTGAGTCAAATTAAATTGGCTTAAACCTTTGTCAAACTTTGTTAAGATGCTGAAAGCCCTCCATATTTCCTTCTCTCTCTGGCTTTGTCATTTTTACTGACCAACATCCCACAGATTCCCCAACCCACTTGCTAAGCTCTTCACCCTTCTGGTACTCCCAGATCACTCTCTTCCTATAGAAATTTCAAAATTTGCATTGGTTATGCACAGCAATTTATCATTATTGGCCCCACTCGATAGACTGTTTGCCTTCCCACACATGTCCTCAGACTCTTCTTTTTACAACCAAATAGGAAAAAGGAGCACAAATTTTAAGAAGGAAAAAAATAATCTATCCCCTTAGGAGATAGCAGCATCTGGTGATACTTGTGAATTTAAATAGCATTTTGTTTCTCACTATCACACTGATAACAACCTTGTGTGAGAAATGTTGTTATCATTATACACAGTAGGCAACTGAGTCACAGAAAGTAAATAACATTTGCAAGGTCACGCAGCCATCATGGAGCAGAAAAGGGTTCCTGCCAGACATAGGGTCTATAACTCACTGTACTGGTTGTGCTTCATATCTATCCACATTGCGTGAGTTCTTCTGGGTTCTCTGTCCCAGGACTTGGCTTCTGTAAGCGCTCACATATGCATCAGTTTAGATGACCATAATTTATACATGTGTCATCACCACAGTGCCACCAGATACTGCTAGGATGCCTGGGCTATCCTTCCTGATGTCATGGCATTATGTTGTCCAATAACTTTGGACACCACCTATGTCATTCTTTTCCTTCAGGTTTAGGAAAGGAATTTATAGTCATGTGTTATTGTGATCACAAATAATGTCTTTGGCCAAACACCTATGTGGCTTAGAAAACAAAATTCCTCAATCTGTAATTGTTATCACCATGTAGATAAAGGGAAGATGAAGGTCAGGCAGTGCTATATTCTCTCTGTTAAGTAAGGAAATAATAAATGCTTCCCAGATGTGGAAAGATGGAAAAATTGAGGCTATTAGAAAAGAAATTATTAGTGGATCAAAAGTAGTTAAAAGAAATGTGAGTGTTCAGAACTTGACTGGAGAGCAAACTAATCAGCCAATGAAAACCTTTTGAGTTAATAATGAATGTCTCATCTCAACTTGAAACAAATCTGTCTGCTCTATTGGAAACATATAATATCAAAGGAGAAGAAAGCTGTCCCATAAAGGCATGGTAGCATTTGAACATCAATTTGACATGTAGTGTAATTTCCTTACCAAGGACCGTGAATATCATATTGAAGCCTACTACAGAAATACTACTCAAATTCTCCAACATAACTCATCTGAATAGGAAAAGTTTCAGCACAAGTCAGAGGAGATATAGGGGAAAAGGCTTGAGGCTGATGAATTTCACTTATGACCAAAAAACCATGACCTTGACTTATTTCCATTTAATACTAATCTATTATCTCTAAACCAGGAACAAGTGAAACTGAAATCAGTCAGAAGCCAGAGTTATTTCTGCTCCAGATTTACTCTAAGTAGTGCTATGTCATCCGAATACATTTGTATGGAAGTGACAAGAGTCAGGGAATGTTCAGTTCTGATCTGTGCTTTTTTACTATTTTAAGTACCAGGGAAAGATGATAGTGATTAAACAACTCTGTTTCCAGCATATAGCAAATGGCATGCATATAGAAGATGAGAAAAATATTTTATTAATCTTATTCCAATGTTATCTTACATAATATATTCAGAAGGCAGCTTTTTATTACCTATATAGAAAAAGTTTTGAGAAATGTCAAGCTAATATTTCAATTGTTTTTAAAATGTGTTTTTCCCTAGGCATCCCAAAAGTGGGTTATTGTGCAGATTGTGGGAAGCTTCAACTAGTGTTATGCATTCTGTTTCCTTTTTTTTTTCTGGAGATGGAGCCTTGCTCTGTTGCGAGTGTAGTGGCATAATATCGGCTCATAAAACCTCCATGTCCTGGGTTCAAGTGTTTCTCAAAACTCAGATCCCTTACTAACCTATGTCGTTTGTTACTTGTTCTCTTTCACATAAATTGAACTTAAATAATTTGTTGTTGTTGTTGTTGTTGTTGTTGTTTTTGAGACAGAGCCTCGCTCTGTCACCCAGGATGGAGTGCAGTGGCACAATCTCAGCTCACTGCAACCTCCGCCTCCTGGGTTCAAGCAATTCTCCTGCCTCAGCCTCCCAAATAGCTGGGACTACAGGCGCCCACCACCACACCTGGCTAATTTTTGTATTTTTAGTAGATACGGGGTTTCACCATGTTGGCCAGGCTGGTCTTGAACTCCTGACCTTAAATGATCCACCCACCTCGGCCTCTCAAAGTGTTGGGATTACAGGTGTGAGCCTCCACACCCGGCCAGCATTCCATTTCAACATGATTAACCAGAATAGGGGAAACATAACAGAAATGATGATGACATCCCAACTCCCCAACTGTCTCTGGATTTAGGTTTGGTTACAACTTCCAAGTAATCAGCCAAACTTCTTTAAATAATTTCTGAATGGCCTCCAAATCCTGGATGAAACTTTATTCTGGTAGGACAAACATCTATATGTATCATATGGAACTATAAACCATTGTCAACTTTAACACACATTAGGTAGACTTTGGAGTTTCATAAGGAGAATCACTTAGAGCACAAGTCACACAGTAGTACGCTGTTGGTTATTTATTAAGCAGCGCTTCATTTTGTTTTTCGAGAGTCAGTATTTTCAAATTAGATTTTATATTCAAATTAGATTTCATATTCAAATTAGATTTCATATTAAGATATGCATTTCCACCCTCTCTTGAAAAAATTGAGGATATGAAAACTTAGGACCCAGACTTCCTCATTATAATAATTTGCAGGATCTGAGTATCTGAGATCTCTAAATTTTCAGCTCTTCATATCCCATCCAACTAGTTGGCCAGCATCATGAATTTTAGTGGCCTCACAAACTCTTGTAAGCATTTCATGTTGTGACTTTTATGTAGATTCTAGATTCATGAAAATTCCCTAACTTAGAGCAAAGCTGATACAGAGCAAACTTTATATTCTTTGCTCCTATTTGCAGAAAACCACAAAGTTACAAAAATTGGTACTATTCTTGAGTTTATAGTTTTCCATCTCCACAGGACCCAGCATTGATTTTACCTTGTCTAGGAAACTCCCTTTACATTTTCTGGAAAGCCTGTTTCCAAAGCACACCCTATTATTTTATTTCCTTCTCTCCTACTTCAGTCTTTAAGGAGAAAACACCGTCTATCACAGAAGAACTCGCTCAACTTACCATCCTCCTGCTGCTGTACTTCCCTATTTCACTTCTTTCACTTCACAGCTCTGTGAAAGTTGGACAACCCTTTGAAGAATTTTTAGCTTTTTATTTCTCAACAGCAATTGAAGCTACTATGCCAACCTCCTAATAACACAATTACTAAACTAGATCATGTAAATAAGCACAGTGGTGGGCAGAGAAATGTGCTTTGCTTCATAGTGTCATTTAACTCCTCTGTGCCTGTCTTAGAGGATGGAAGTGTTTGACCCATCCACCTTGATTCTCTCCAGTTTTTTCTTTCTATATAATCTACCTTATTTGATCTGTCACCTGAAATGTTGGTGCTCCATTGAATTCTGTTTGGTCCTTTTAAAAATCTTATTCCATTTTCCCAAGATTATCCCAGTCTTCCCCAAGGATTCTAACCCACTTTCTGCATGCTGACGGTTCCATGTCTATACAAAAAAACTTCCTTTTTCATAACTTCCTCGTGGGATTTGCACACTTGCATTCATCCTCCAGTCTACTGCCTGAGTAACATTCCTCAAGGCAAAACTGATCTGTCAAAAAATCTCTTTTGAATTTGGGCTAAATTATAGGATAAAGTCCAAGTTCATTAGATCACCACACGAAGATCTCTACAATAGGTGCACAACAATTATCTGTGTCATCTCTTCTACCACCACACACACTGTGCTCTGCCATGCTGAATTTCTTATCCCTTCTCTGCTTATTCCAGCCCCTTTACAACTCTGTGCCTTTCACATGCTGTTCTTTTTTCTTGTATATAATTTATCTCCCTGCTTCCTGATATGAAATTTCTCCTTCTTTCTATAAGATCTAAGTAAAAATGTACTTCATGATGTAAACTTGCTAATCTCCACAATTAATGTAGTTGCACAGGTCTCTGGGTTTTCAGAGTAATTCTTAGTTTATTTACATTACTACACAGCCTCTATCCTCTCTCATTCTCAAAATAAACAGACTCACACTCTAGATTTTGAGATTCCTTAAGGGCAGAGACGGTGTTTCATATGTGAATTGTAAACACCTATTACGAACTTATTGTATGGTTGGATAGAGGTAATTACAATTCAGTTCAACAAAAATTTATTTTGTCCTGACTTTACTGTGTTAACTCTTCTAAATCTCCACAACAAGCATATGAGTTAGGAATCATTAATGAAAATTTTAAAAATGAGGTTCAGTGAAGGTTTTAAGCTAAAACTCATAAATAGTTGAACTGGAATATTAATCTCCAAAGTACATGCTTTATCTAATATACATACCTTATATTTTTGTCAGTAAATCTTTGTTGAGTTAGTGAATGACTAATTGAACAAATTAAAGTTTCCCAATAAATCTTTGCCAATTTTCGCAGTTAAATAGTAGGATAGTATGCACTGTAGTACTTCTTAAAAGTTTGAGATATATTAGCATTAGTTTGTTACTACATCTAATTTAATTCATTTTCTTTTATTCTTAAAAATTAAAAAATGTTTCAGAGATTACTTCCCAAAAAGAATCTGGTTTGCCTATTGAACAATATATTTCACTCTGTTTCTTCAAAAACATACAAAAGTTCATAATTACATGTTTTAATATACTATTAAACCAAATGTAAAAAAAATTAAAATTAATGCCAACTAATACAAAGTTTTGTGTTTGTCATTCTATGTGTCTTTTAAGGTTATTATTACTAGCTTTATTTAGGTTTCAATTATTTTATTGTAAATCAGGTCACTGAAAAGCCAATCAATTATTTAAAAACACTTTATGGGGATTACTTTTAACAAGAGAAACTCTATTACTGTACTATATAGCATTAAATCTGTTTCAGTAATCATTTCATATTTCACATAGTTACAAGTACATTCCTTTATAGCTGCATTATAAAATGCTAATAACAATATCATTAATTAGTAATATATATTCATGGAAATTTAGTGACTTCAAGACCTATTTGGCTTCATATTTATATTGTCCTTTGGGACACATATTCCAGATCTAACATCACATACAGCTATAGATAGTGAGAATTAAACAGAACTATGAGATCATCTAGCTAACCCAATGCTTTTATGACAAAGAAAATGAGGACCAGAAAGTCTCACATACTTTGTCCAACATGATCACAAAAAGAAGATGACCAAGGATTAGAACTCAGTCCTTATACCCCTTAGTCAGTAAATTGTTTTCCATTTAAATTAATGTATATTTATTTTCCTTGATGAAATAACAAGAAAATTACTTGACAAAGACAGTTTACTCCAGATGCTAAATCTATTTTTCTTTTCTTGGTTTTCCTTTCTATGGTATTAGCCTTTAATACATTAATGCCACATAAATATCAACAGATTGGTCAAATCTGCTTAAGCAATTAGTTTGACTAATTACATGACTAAATTATTGGTTAATAAGAGTGCCTAGTCAATTCATGTTTAAGTAACTAGTTAAATTGGTTGTTTGCTTATAAACAAATAACTTCACTGGTTGAGGAAATGTTTTATTTTGTATTCTATTGATTTGGTGCAGATTCCACTTCTGAATGAGAACGGAGTTAATTGTTAAGTGTGTCGTCATAAATTCATGACAACTTTTTTCACATAAGATCAAATGATCACTTTGACTTAATTTTCATCTTTCTCCTAGTAACTCTGGCATCATGTTTCCAAAGAAGATGATGTGTTCTGGGTTTCCTTGACTCCCTTCTGAAAGTTATCAAAAGAAAGGAAAGTTGATGGTGTTTGCTGCCTGAGAACTCAGGCCTTGAGGAGACAGAGGAAAACTGGGTTAATAATCACTTGCGTGAAAAAGTAAACAGAACTGAAACAAAAAAGAGAGATAAAATATAAGAAAAGAGAATTTGATGAACATAAAATATTATTATATAATTTTATAAAAATGTGGCTTAGTTATGCTGCTTTGTTCCAAAGCTTAGAAACATTTTCAACAACTAGAAAAGAATTCACCCCTACTTAAATGTTGATCTAATGGTTGATCTGATCAAATCTGTATTGAGTGGCTATCATATAAAAAAGTTGGTGCCAAAACAAAGATATGTGTTACAGAAACTAAACACATAATTTTCAGCTAGTGAATTGCCGCTGAAAAATGTCCAGGAATTGTTATGAGTGAGTCGTCAATTCTCTATGCTCCTCTAAGGGGCCTCAGCTCCCTCACATTATTTCAAATGCTCACATCTCTGGAGATGATGTGACAAATGAGGCTGGGGTGAGCGAGAAGTGATTTAGCCACCTCTAAAAATTATTTTCTCTGGTGCATCCAAATTGTCTAAAATAATTTTTTCCTAGGAAATGGATTTAAGTTTATTTCATACAAAGGAGGAAATTCTGAAAACAAAAAAAAAACCAAAAAGGGAAGAAAAAAAGAAGCACATGTCAAAAGATAAAATAGTGCAGCAGAAGGATTCATTGCCTAGGTAACTTTTTTCTTTTCTCATTTTACTTTGCGATAAGTTCTCAATGGACTGATTCATTTAAGCTATGATTTTTATTCATATTTTTAAGCTGTTGGGCCTGATGTTGAAATCTCCCTTGTCACCAGTTAGACTTACTAGTTTTAATGATTTGGGTTTTAAATGAAGGTCATTATATAATATCCTGCATCGCATGCAGATTATAAAGTTCCTGCCAGCTTTGCCTTTTAATTAAATTATTCTTTCAAGTGGAATATAGGAGTAGAAAAGTCCATCTTCTTTTTATATTGAAGAGGCTCTATAGCCAAACTTCCTTGCTTTATTACTAATGAATATTTAAAATAATGTTCTTGAATAAACGTTGGCTGTGTGTGGAAGAATTATTTGTTTAATACATCTTTTTCCCACCCAATTCAATTACCCATATTCTACAGATAATGTCATCCAACATATGACATATATACATATGATATATATACCTACATACATACATATGTATATATGATACGTGTATGTGTCCATGTAGGTATGTATATACACACACACACACACACACACACATACATGCATGTGTGTGTGTGTATATATACACTCTGTTTTACCCTTGATTTTCAGATGTCTCTGACAAACAGCTAAACAAGGAACAAAAAGAGAGTTGTAGAGTGTCAGTTTAATAGAGAAACATAATACTTGACAGTGAATCTGTTGATTAACACTTCTGAAGAGGTGAGTAACCAGAAGTCTGGGGGAAAAGAGAAGAAGACAGGTTTACTGGGAGGAGCAGAATAATGAGAGAAGCATTACGAGGAAAGTTCCTTTGCTCTGGGCAGCAAGACTGGCACCTTTCATCTAGCAGCTTAACTCTCTGAGATGGGTATCCACTACAAGGAGAGGAGGAAGAGATTCACCGCCTCTGGTTGGAAGCAGATCTGCAGGTTAACCTGTTAAGGCATGGAGACCCAGCAATGGCAACAAATGTGATAGGGGCATGGAGTATTTCCGGGCAATGGCGAAAATGTTTGCAGCCCAGACTGGCTTATAACAGTTAGGACCACTTCAGTAGACTGGGACACCAAGAAGCCATGTATGAGATAGAGGAAAATGAAAATTCTTGGGTTAGAGAGTGAAGAGAGAAGGCTAAATAGGCAATCATGATACCATAAATAATTCATCTGGGAAGCCATATTTCAGGGCCAAGGAAGTAAAAATCATCCAGAATAGACCCATCATCTTAGGAAAGTTGAGTAGGCTTCGAAAGGAAACTAAATGGAGAGTTAGAAAGGTGGATTTCTGGGGGGAATGAAGGCACAGTAGTTAAGACCAGTCTTGTTCTTTCTATCTATTGTACCTTAAACTGTGTCATAAATCTTGACCAGAAATATCAGCAGATGGCATCTGAATGCTTTTGAAATTTTCTGTTTCTGAGGGTTAGTGTTCTAACCTCTCTGCATGGTCTCTTTTATCTGGAATAATAAACAGTTGTTGGGTGGCATCCTTAAGTCAGTGATCTGATTAGACTATCAACTTGCAAAGTCCCCACCACCCTTTTATCTAACATTATCTGCTGAGTTCTAGGATTGACAGTTCGAGCTTCAGTATAAAAACTGAGTACCTCTGCATTCATTCGATGATGAATAATGCAGGGCGGCTTGTTTATTTGCTTGCTCTGAAATCTTATCCTGTTTTTCAGCATCCCTTTCTAGGTCTGATACATAACTAATTGTTGGCAGATGTGGGAAGTATTTTGAGCCAAGATATAGTATTTGTTTGCACTGTCTGGTTTTTCAGCCTTAACCAATATCAGGTCATAGCAGCTGGTTTTTATCAAAGCTCTGTATACTATAGACCATCCACCTGACAAAACAAGATTTGCTCACATGACCTTCATTTGAAAGCATTAAACACAGGCATTCCTCCAAAGTAATAGAGAAATTTTGTTGAAAATTTATAATCAAATTAATGAATTGGCTTAATTTGTGTTTATTTACATGCAAATGACTGTCTTGTAGTACACAGGCTAAAGTTTGTCCTTTTAAAACATACATTAAGATGTGTAGTTTTAGCTTAACATGAATTTTAATTTTAATTTTAATTTCAGGCTTAAAAATTATTTTAAACCCTTATACTCTATATAGGCATTACTCATTAAAAAAAAAAAAAAGCTTACCAGTCACTTTTTATCCTTACTGAAAAAGAGTGATATCATGTCAAAACTATAGTAAACAGCATGATTTGGATCTAGCACATTAATTTTGAATTAACATTCCTTTCTTTACTGATAGGGCCTTCACTTTCCCCTTACATGCCAGAATCAGTATGGTGAATTATGTTCATGACCTTGCTCATTGTTTTAAATAAATAAAAGATTAGCATTTTAGTCACCCTGTTTACATTAATCTAAAAATTTCATAAGCCACAGTAGTGTTTGTGTTTTCAACTTTCATGCATTTTTTTCCATGGGTGCATGAGTTAATGTGATTTGTTTCAACTACCCAAAATATTTTAAGAGCACTGCACTGTGGAGAAGTATTTATTTGAAGTAGCTGTGGATAATTTGCAAACTCTGTGATGATACAGTGGTTTTTACTAACGAAACAGAAAAGCTTTTATTCTGCAGTCTACCTGACACTGCGGGAAATAAAATCTCAAAGAGACCTAAGCTAGCTTTATTAAAATAATTTTAATTTTGGATTATATCTTCTCCTTGGGTCATAATGCATCTAATGTGATGTGATTCAAAGGCAATTTTACCTGTTTTTATACCATCTGCGCAGTTATGAGACACTTTACAGCGCTGTAGAATAAAAGTTGTCTGAATCTGAAAGCCTTACTAAACAATAATTTAAAAGTCTACACGGTTAGAAAAGCATGAACAAAATCTCACCTTTAGTTCTGGAAAATGTTGAACATAAATTTATTTGAGAAAGTTTAAAATACCTTACAATACCAAATATAAGGTCACCGCAAAATAAGGCAACTCCCTACTTTTCCAATGAGAAGATGCAATTAAAGATTTTATTTTCAGTCAGTTGAATATATAAACACCGAAGCATATGAGGTAGCCAAATGTCTACTTTTAGTATTTAAAATAATTTCCTTAGTTACGTATATTTAAAATAATATATAAGATAATAGTGTAATATTCACTTTTCTCCACTTCTTAATTTCTCCATACCCTTTTCTCCATTCCTTAATTTCATGAAAAATTTTATTAAATTCTCGAGACACATCTTTGACCTCAGTGTCTTGGTCATTAGTAGAGAAACTTTTAAAGTTATTTTACAAATTTTTCCAGAGAATATAGTTTTTATTTTCACCTATCATTGTTTGCAACACAGCACATTTTTCATTCTTTTTATGAACTGTCCCTAAAGTATATCCCAAGAGACACGAACCCATAAGCTTAACATTAGGACTTATTTTTCATTGTTATTTTTATCTCCAAACCATAAAGTACAACATTACTTTTAAGTGATGTTTAACAGAATTATTTGTAATGAAATCCAACACCTATTGAGAAATAAAGCCCAATTTCTGTTTCTGCTTTTGTAAAAATCCCATCAGTTAACCTCTAAGGTCATGCAAAGCCAGCATTGATTGTAACACTAATAAAATGACTTGCCAAATGGAACGTTGATGTGCAAAATAAGGTAATTGGGAAAGCAGCTATAACATGAGCTATTTTGTAAGGGTTCAAATGTAAAGCAAATAATTCTCTCCTTTTGAAAGACAATGGGAAGATGGGAACCTCTTCTTATATTCAGGCATGCGCAGTGCATTATCCAAGTATTATTTTAACTTCCCACTTACTACTGAGACAACTTACTTCAACTTTTGTTTAAATATATATCTATTTATTAAGTAGGTAACACATTCTTATATTCAATTTTATAAAAGTATTGAAAATATACAGCAAAAAGTCTCCCTCATCTGCCCCTTATCACAATTCCCTGTTCTGAAAACAGTCAATGTTATAAATGTTTGTCTATCATTCCAAAGATATTTATCTGATGCATATACAAATATTACAGTTTGAAAGCACAGCTCTTATAATTTTATATACCGATAACTGCAATTAAGTAATACAAACTTACACAGCTAGTTATTGTTTCTTTTTCTTTCTCTCTCTCTCTTTTTTTTTTTTTTTTTTTTTTTTTTTTTTTTTTGAGATGGAGTCTTGCTCTGTCACCCAGGCTGGAGTGCAATGGCACGATCTCGGCTCACTGCAACCTCCACCTCCCAGGTTCAAGCAATTCTCCTGCCTCAGCTTCTCGAGTAGCTGGGACTTCAGACACATGCCACCATGCCCGGCTAATTTTTGCATTTTTAGTAGAGGTGGGGTTTCGTCATGTTGGCCAGGCTGGTCTTGAACTCCTGATCTCAGGTGATCCACCTGCCTCGGCCTCCCAAATTGTTGTGATTACAGGTGTGAGCCACTGAGCCCGGCCTATTGTTTTGTTTCCTTTCCAAGGAAAATATAAACATAATTCAAAACAATCAATTTTCTAATAATTCTTCTGGCTGTGAATGCTACTTTTGATTGGTGTTGTACAATAATATTTATATACATATCTTATTCATATTTGTTAATTCAGTGAATAAATTTAAACTAGCAGTTGATCAGTTGTCATCATACACAGTTTATAAGAGTTTACTCAAAGATGTTTCTCTAATTAAAATAGTTTATGAGTAAGGAGAACGTGAAAAAAAAGACAGTAAGTATACTGTTTATATGTTTAACAAATAACCAGTTAAATTACTTATTTGTTCTTTATACATAGTGTAATAAAAATACCTTTTCAAAACATTTCACTTTCAAATCAGATCTTCTTTTTATTACAACAGTAATAAATGTTCACTGCAGATATTTTAAGAAACACAGACATGAGAAAAGAAATTATAAACCCCAAGCAACATATACACTGCTGAGCGGTCAGTGAACATCGTGGTATGTCTCTAGTCCTCCACCGTTTATTTGGTTGAGAGAGACTTTGATCCTGCTCCGTGTCCCCTAAGTAAATGCTGTATCAAGGTCTTTGATAAGTGCAATGGAACTGTCAACTCACCAGCGTCACCCCACCTGCCGTGGCTCTTCCTCAGCTCTTAGCAACAAAAACTTGCCATGTGAAAGATCAAACTGCCCCCCTTTTCTACCAGGTACCCACTTTGAACATTGAAGCTCCTTCCCACTAGCAAAAAGGATCTGAACTTGTATCCAAGACATCCCTGTGGGCTGCATCTTTGATTCAGGTCTAGGAAAAGGTGACTGGTCCTCCTATCCTAGTCAGTCCCTGGTTCTAATTCCATTCTAATTGTCTGCTGGGGCTGTACCTTCTTCAGTTGGCCCTCAGGTCTTTGCCTATCCTTTTCAGTTCTGGGTCTGGACCTTATCTCTGAAACCCTTCCCATAGCCTTGGATGAACTTCTTTGTTTTGCGACTTTTTTGTGTGTGACTTATTCACTCTACATAATGCTGAGACTTCTTGCCACTGCCCGAAAACCACATTTCAATGCTCTGCCATTGGTCGTGAGCTGGGAAAACTGATATTAGCTCACTTTGGACTTGAATTTTTCTGTATTAATTTTTACTTGTGGTTTGAACTGTCCAATCCTCTGTGTCTGTTAGGTCTTAAGGATCTCAGGCAACTTCTTTTTGAATGGAAGCTTCTAAGATGTGTGGTGGCCACGGAGGTAAAAAATGCCAGTGAGAATCATGGTCCCTGAGGTATTCACTACCATGGCTCATAGACATCCACAATGATCAGGTATGAAATACAACCTATCCTGGAAATTAAACACTGTATATGTGCATTCCAGTTGGTCTGTTTATTCTAATGCTGAAAGCTAATTATTCTTATTTTTTACTTACTGTAGAAGGTTTCCATATGGTGCAAGTGTCCCACTCTCTGAAGCCACACCCCAAGGTACAATTCCAGAGCTTGAGAACTTAGTATCCAAAGAAGTTCCTGGTTTGCAGAGGAATTGAAACGATCTCTGGAGACAGAAGCATAAAACTTCTAAACTGAAGAGTACACATTATGGACCCCTGTAAGATCAGGGTGGACAAATTTGAAAGGACGGCTGAGGGGCTGATAAAGGAATTCCTCAACCCGCTTGCAAAACATGACATTAGGACAAAACTTCCGTCCACACAGTCCATTGGGAAATGTATCAGCCTTTGCTGTCAGCTTGATCCTTTACCTTTATTCTCTTCTTATTCTCAGTTACACCATATTCTTGTTCCCTTTGTTCTAGGCTTGATTTTCCATTTTACCTCTTTTAGATAAGTTCTGCTTATTACATCTTCTTTGGTAAATCATCTCTGCCTAGCCATAGGTAGCTAGAAATGCAGTGTTTGCCTCTGGTAGCATGGGTAAGTCTCAACCAAATTCATTGCTTCTCATTGTGTGATTGTAACATCTGCATGCTATCATATCAAGTCTGACTTGACTAAAACTTTCTGAGCATTCAGGGCATAGGAATACTTTAATAGTCCTGGCTGTCTATAGTTGGAGGTAATTTAACCTATGGATGGCATTAAGCATAAGGTGGGGGGGGGGAACAAAAATTCTGTCAAAAATCTTAGTGGTTTTTTTTTTTTAACTTGCATTTTGTTCAGATGATTCCTTAGTTTAAGTTGTTCCAAATTAATCATTCTCTTAGTCAACCAGGTTATTGTTCATGCAGAAGCCATAGCCATCAGGATATGAAATAGTTATGTGAAATGAAGTTCTGCAGAAAAATCAGATATTTTTATTGTTTTTCATAAATATGTACAGAAAGTAAGACTTAGACTTTAAAAAATAAAATGTAGGGGTTTTTTTATAACAGTCAATATAAATTAAATATTCTCAACCATTTTATTTCCTCTCCCCTTTGATGAAATTCTGCTAGAAGAAGTTTCACTATGAATAAGAAGACATTCTGAGCATTCAGAAGACTGACCTACTAGATCATTTTTTTCCTTTGCTGTTTGGTCCATAAAAAATTGATGTTCTCTTCTCAGGTAACATGCTTATTTTTATCTACATGAAACTCATTGATCTCCTTCCAATTTGGTGTTAGCCTCTTCATTCCACTATCATTCCCGAGGTAACGAATGATATTTTCATAGGCATGGCTAGTAATCAATATAGACAAGCTCTGCTCATTGATCTGAGGAAGACCTTTGATCTGGAAAATCACCAATTATGGCTATTTAAAGTAGATTCAATTGGATTAGGAAGAACAAGAATGAACTGGTATCTACAATATTCTTTAATAGTTTTAAAACCTAGAAAGACACAAAGTTAAATATAAGCCTCTTAAAGAATAAGGGTTAATTTTCATTCTTTCAATTTTAAATGAAGATTTTCTTGCACATTCTTCTTTATCACTGAATTTTTTATGGCTGTGTAATGTGATATTCTTATAAGGGACATCCCAGGTACCAGGTAATTGACGATTTGCAGTGAGTTTCTGACAACCTTCAAATCCTAATTAATAAAAATAGGTTCAGCTTAAATATTGATATGCTAAGCATTAGTCTTATTTTAACTGAAAAAGATGGACTTCTGGTCCCAGCAAATTAAGTCTTTAATAATATGCAGGCTACCTAGTTGATTGATTACATTTTCTAGTATAATTTCTAGTTACTGTTATTTTCAGGCTATGACCAAATTTGAATTAGAAATGAGAACATGGATTGCTTTTTGCCTCCATGAGACTATTTCCCAGTGTACAATCTATATTATTTAATGTACAATAGTCTATGCTGCCTCTGAAAAACATGAATAATAAAATATATTAAGGCAAAGAGGTAGAGAGATCAAATTGGTTTTTTTTTTTTTTTCCTTTTATCTATTCTATATGTTCAGGGAGTCCTAAATGCTGTTGGAAGATCTAGAGTCCTAAAAGGCTGTTTAATTTGTGGTTTACAGCACAGGTTATGGAGTTGAAGGGTGTGGATTCAGATTCCAGCTCTACAGTTTGATAGCTGCATGACTTTAAAGAGTATTTACTCTCTTTTTCTAATTTATTTATGTTTAATAATAATAATATCTGTCTCATACGTTTAAGCCTTCAACAAATTAGTACTTCATAACAACAAATTAGTACTTCATACTTAAAGATTAAACAAATTAGTACTTTATAACAACAATGATACTTAATACTTAATAATGTTTATTTATTCAGCAACTATGTGATAAATAATGTTCTAAATACTTTAAAATATTCTAAACACAGCAACCTACTGAATTAGATACTCTCTCTCTCCCCATTTTATTGATGAGGAAACAACCACAGAGTCTAAAGTCATCTGCCAAAACTCACAAGTTGTTAAATGATTTAACGAGTATTAAAATACAAGTAGTCTTATTTGAGAGCTTCCCCTCCTAACCACTACTAGATTCATGCACAAAACGTTTAACATAGAAAATAGCACATAGTAAACTGTCAATAAATGATATTGAATGTTAATAAATACAAATAATAAATTCCCCACATTCCAGGAACAATTCTTTTAGATGTAAAAAATATATATATATACCTAGCCTTGAAACAATAGCTTATTTCTTTTCTGCAGAGTTCAGTGCCCATTTCTCCTTTTCCTGCTTAATCTCTAAGTTAGATGCTCAGCTTTTGACTCTGTTACCTGCCTTCTGTCAGCAGCCACTTCCTTCATGGCTTCTTCCCCCACCCTGCTAAATGTCTACCTTCTTCTTTTAATCTCTGCATTTGGCTAAATATCAGATAATTTTTCATAGTGTTAGAAGACGTCAGTTTATTTTTATCCTCAGCATTTGTTGACCTTTTCTTTTGGAAACCTTGACCAAACTTCCTTCCTAGAGAACACCGTCTCAGTCTCTTCTAGTTTCTTGCCTTCTCTAATGGGGTTGAGTTCCCTCCAGGCTCCAGCAGTGACTGCATGAGATGTCAGAGCAGACACATTACCTGGGCCAGTGAGAGGTTCAGGAATGAGTATGTGTGGCTCAGTCACAACCAGTAAAATTTAGCTGGAATAAATATTGAAAAAAAAAGTTTTTCTTTTATATTGTCCTCGAGGTCGTGAGAATATAAAATCTGGAGCTGCTTTGCCATTGGGCAACAATCAGAGATTTGCCTCTCTGAAACCGGAGTAAACACAGAAAAAGTTGAGAAAGATACATTGGGTCCTGTTTGTGTGATTTAAACCTCGGCCTCAAGATGTGCTTAGAACCAGTTCTCCTATAGACATTTCCATTGTGTGATGCAGTATGTTTTCCTTTTGCCAGTTAAGCAAAAGGACTTAAGGTTTCTTTTACTTACAAATGAAAGAGTTTAATTAATTAATTTATTTTTGACACAGGGTCTCATTCTGTCACCCAGGCTGAAGTGCAGTGGTGTGATCACGGCTCACTGCTGTCTTGACCTCCCCAGGTTCAGATGATCCTCCCACCGCAGCCTCCCAAGTAGCTGGGACTACAGATGTGCACCACCATACCTGGCTAATTTTTGTATTTTTTGTTGAGATGGGGATTCACCATGTTTCCCAGCCTAGTCTCAAACTCCTGGGCTCAAATAACCTGCCCACCTTGGCCTCCCAAAGAGTTAAGATTACAGTCATGAGCCACTGCGCCCGGCCTGAAGGAGTTTTAATTGAGAAAATTTCTTTATGCTCAAAAAGAACATTTTTAACATTCAAAAAGATGAAGTTAGCTTATTGGTATATCAGTAGTGGATTTGGATAGTTTTGATGAGGTACAAGTTAGAGCCCTATAGGATAATTGTGTAGGTAACAACCATAGGTAATAAAATTATCGATCCCTTCCCTCACTATTCTGTTAACCAGACCTTTCTGAAGAGTATCTTCATATCAATAAGTAGTCCTAGGGGCTTCTTCATGCCTTCTTGCTATTCTTACCCAGAAGTTCAAGCAGTAGTAAAAGAAAGACACTTTTATCCTAAAAGATTTTACGTCTTGCTCATTCCCAGGACTGACACATGTAAGTGAATATCTTTCAAGTATATTAAGTGTTCCCCTCAATACTGCAGTCCACCCATTGTCTAGAAAACCTCATACCTTTAAGCCCAGACAAGTTTCTTCCTGGTTATTTTCCCTGGGCCTGGAGAAGAGAATGATTTAGAAATTATGCAGCTGTTTTAGGACACACATGTACAGATGCAGAAAAACAATGAAGTCGGGAGTCCAATAATAGAGCATCAGAGACCTTGATCTTGTTAGTCATACTGAAACAAAAGAAAAGTATACAAAATGTGACATAATGTTTTATGCACATGGCAAAAAGTCAGGATTCTGCCAGAGCTGTTTGGTGTCACCCCTTCAAATGCCTTCTCAGTATCTCACCCCACTATTGTCCCTTTGTTGACCCCACTCATCAGAGCACTGTCTCTGGTCTCCCTAACGTAGTGAAATTTACATTATATTGCCAAATATGAGCCCGACAGTAATCCTCAGGAACATAGGCAATGTATTAACTATAAAGAGAAACCTCAGCCTTCTGGGCAGATACAGAAGCTACATAATGATGCAAAGTCATTACGTAGAGAGGTAATCAAAAGTGAGATGGAAATTACATACAGACATAGTGAAAATTTGCTTCACACCTAGGAAATACAAAGCAAAGACCCAACTCTTGAGACAGTGATTCCCAAGTAGTGCTTTCTACTAGTAATGGGCAATTATAGTAGATTCTTTTAAGTTAAGGTTAAAAGAATTACAATTAGGGTTAGTGCTGTTGTTTCTAAATCTCAGATATGTGGCTCTTTTGAGTAGTATGCTCAAACAATTTAGCCTGGTGTACAATTTCCTTCCCAGTTATATTCTATGCTTCTTTTTCAGCATCATGAATATTTTCTTCCATGTACCTGTCTGCCTTGCCAACAGGTTTTTCTTATTTCCACATGGAATGCACTTACAAGGCTGCAGCTTTCACCTGCGATGCCACAGTCACTGGTCTTCTGAACAGTTATAACCTCCTGCATCCTAGCTCAGGAACCAGGCAGGCATAGACTTCAAGGGAGGCTATGCCCTCTCAGGCCCCAGGGAGATTCAGGCATGAATTATCCTATTCCAATTATTCCAAAAATTTAATCAATGATGGAATGGGAATGGGAATATAACCACTGTAACAAGAGCAGAAGGTTCTTGTAGAGTTTCTAAATTTTGGGTTCTTACAAAGAGAAACAGGAGAAGGCATTGCTCTCTTCTCCTTCCAGCCACTGGATATTGTTGTATGGGTGTATGATGCTTGAGATACTTTAACTATCCTGCCACCATGGATAAAGTCAAGTAAAGGCCAAAAGGCAGCTTACTGAGAACTGCAGAGGGAAGAGATGAGAAGAAACTAAGTTCTTGCTGGCAGCACTGAGTTAATAAATTATCACTCTGGAGCTGCTCAAGCACTGGACTTTTGATCCTGTAGGTGCAATGGGCATTTGTCTTCCCTTGTGAATATAAAACAATTCAATATCCTTTCCGTGTTAGGACATTCTTCTCTCTACAAGTAGAGCCAGCCATACATTATAAAAGCTAAAATTATTAGTTGTATGGTTTCTCATTTTCTCTTGCATCTTGGGCATGGGAATGCAAGCTAGATTCTGCCCCATAATTTTAACAGGAGTCACTGACATGAAGGAACAAGGAAGCCCTGTGAGTAAAGGTGATGGAAGCACCTGCTTCTGCATTCACGTTCCAGAAGCAGCTGGGTAGCATTGCTAGAGCATTATTTCAGGTTGAACTCTGGTTAGGCCAGTGGTGAAAGATGTGCTTGCCATGCCTAGGGGTTATGGCAATGCTATCTTCATAAAACTGGTTTTGTGAGATGATTTCAGTTTCATCCTTGGCTACATAAACTCTAAACCTTTATCTCTGGTTAACTTAGCGATTTTGAGAGCCATCTATTCAAGATTATTTTTTCTTAAACCCACTGGAGTTAATTTCTATTATCCACAACTAAGAACTTTGAGCAATACAAAGATATAGTGCCTTTTAATTTTTAAAGTTTTTATTGTTGAGCAATTGGTTTCCTATTTTTGCAGCTGAAAGCTTTCTCACAGATGTACACGTTCTATTCCTTTGGTTGGAAATCTCTTCTCTGTCATTGTCACCATAACAAAGGGGACTGGTTGTTCTACAAAATATTGGTTCTGTTGAAAATATATTTAAGAAATGTTGTTTAAACAAGGTTAAATGGATTTCCTTACTACAGGACATCTCAGAATGTTATTATGTGTATGGATTGTGAATTTCCAAGAAAGGCATGTGAGGAAGTTGAAACTTACTCTTTGTTCTAAAGTCAGCATTTAGGGTGACAGTCATATAAAAGTCCATAAGAAGGCACCACTTTAGAAAATGGCACATAATCTTTGTAAGTTCAACAAATCAGTCTTTCTTCCAGAGTTGAACTGGATGACTATTTGGTTAAGTATTAGAAGAGGCTACCAACTGTGGGCTGTGTAATATACATTTTTTTAAAATTGATCACATTCAGCAGAGCATAATTAAAAGATTTCAGTATGAGAGGTAATTAAACTTAAAAACTAAGAGAAATTAATTCCTATCTCTTATATGCTAAGTCTGGGATGTGTATTCATTGAGTTTGACTGATAGGCAGAATCGCATATATTATGTAAGGTGTTTCTCACTCTTTCTCTTTGTACCTCTCTCCCTTCATCTTTCTCTTTCCTTAAAACACTATCACATGACAATGAATAGTAACCGTCCATGTGGGGTAGAAACAAAACACACTCTCTTGGTGTCATTGCAATTAAAGATCCTTTGGTAGGGCCAATCTTAAGTGGGAAGAAGTTACCGGGATTTATATTGTGCAACTACATTAGTGCCTAGTGGTCTTTTCTTTTTATCAGAGAGAAAAAAGGAAAAACCTATTTTCCATATGTCCATTATAACTTTACTTATAACAAATGGATATATTGGTATTTTTGCATGCTATTATTGGTGTTTTGAGACTTTAAAAATACCATAACCTTTACTGGGATATGAGCACTTGTGGAGAGAAGGAGAGCGAGCTTGGAGAATCAATGGTGAAGTGGGAGGCTCGGCAGCACCGATGTTAAAATTCTCTTATTTCACTATCTCACCTGGAGTTGGAAATATATAATACCTAAATGTTTTCATTAATGAAGTGTATTATCAGTGTTATTATCATTAGTTCTGACTTTTCTAGTGCTTTTTCTTGCTTTTATTTTTTGGAGACAAGGATGCTTTTCACTCAGTGCTGATTTAAAGCCAGAGTTCCCAAATTTATCAACTAATATCTCAACAAGCATGAGTCTCTAACATCCACAAGGCATACACTGTTGCAGTTACAAAGAATTGTCAGACAGAATTTAGAATTCTTCCATGAGAAACTAACTTTGTAGTTTTGGCGGTAACAAAAAATGATTATTAATTTCTCCCCACAGACGGCCACCAGGTTTACTTAAGTGATGATATCTTAGACAACAGTTCTAATATAAATATATTTCTTAACACTGTAGAAGGATTATTTATTATCACCTTTTTCCAAAGTCTTATCTAAGACTAAACGCTCCTGATTATAACATGTCTTTAATGAGTTCTTTTATTTTATTCTAATTTTGAAAGACTGCGCTCCCTGACTTAACCTAGGGCTAAAATTGAGTATCAAAATCCCACTGTGGTTTCTGGTTCATCAGAAAACACACAGAGCTCCCCCAAAAGGCTTATTTCTCTACTTTATAACAGAGAAGTGAGTCAATCTGGGATAACTAATGCTTTCTGGTCTCTTTTAATTATTAGAATGCAGGGCTCGGGTTTGACAATGACATTGCGAGGCTGATGCAATTCCAGAGGTCTAAGGGTGACGATTTGCTGAACAGGGAAGAAGACAACATTTGCAATGCTCTTCACACTTTTGATTCACTGCTCTTCTTCCTGCCTCACTTTTCAAGCTCAGACTTTTCTTGTTAATACTCCACCCTTTCCTGACACAGAGGTGCACTATTTGTCTTACGGTAGTCTTTTTCTCTGTTGGATGCAGAGTAGCTCTGGTCATGTGGCTTAGAAGTCATGTGTCATGGTCTCCATGTCCTGAAGCTTTCATCTGGTATTTTCTGACAAAAGATGCCACAAAGTAGTCACTGGGTAACTCAGCTAACTTATTATCTCCTTCACTGGATTCAGCCCATTGTGTTGCAAAAATAATCTTATACAATATATTTCTCCAAATCCAGAAGTATATGTTTCTTGCATATGGGGAGCTCCTTTTGACATCTGTAGGAGCCTTATATCCATAAAAAGAATAATGCTTGGAACCACCTTGGCACTATTTTTTTCCCTTTATGGGTTATTTTAATTATAGAATTATTACCTCCAATTGTAATCAGGATGTGTATTAATCTTTACAGGAGAACTATATAATTGCTTGTTAAATGTTTCTAATAGTTATTAATATAATAATAATTATTAATAAAACTAGGGTTCAGAATTTCCTCCTTTCATTATTTATTACCTAGGAAAAGACCAGAGAAAATGGTGAATACAATAATGTAAATTAAAAAAAAGATCTTGCCTTCTTTTAGAGCTACATTGATTTAAAATGCATCATTGACAATATCACCATCATTCAAAGTACTGTGCTTTATTCAGGTGGCAGGTTGTATTTGCAAATGCAAAGCTCATCAGAGAGGGCTTCTTTTTTCCCCCTTCAGTCCCAGAAAACTCTTCTGTTCCATTAAAATGAAGAATTAGAAAAATTATTTTTAAAAAATCAGCCTGAAGCTGTCTCTTTTGTTCTTTAACATACACTATTTCTATTGAGGGTTTCAAATGGAATTGATTCTGGTCAGATGCATGAGACTGGACAGTCCCCATTTTGAAAAGTTACGTATTCTGCATTACTCTTCTGTCCATATTTCTGAGTGTTCTAACTAGTGCATTGCTTAGGCTGTATTGGGTGGTATCTGATCAAAGTAGTTCTAATCCCAGCATTTTCAGGATGACTTACTATATTTGTCCTATGCCTGCTTTTAAGGTAAAAAAAAAAAATGAGTTTTGCTTTTCCCTTTGTGTTGTTTATTATGTAAGTTCAATAAAAATAAAAGAAACACAGAGATGAGGAGTTTCTTGGAATAAAGCAGTTGTGATGTTTGCATATATTTGTAAAATATTCCTTCTGATTCTGAAGAATTTATAAAAGTTTAAATATAATTTATAGTTTATACATATAAAAAACACATATATATAAAACAAAGGTAAATGAATTATATATTATATACTTTAAAAAAGTAAGAAACAAAATAATGTAACCTTGTTTAACATTTTAATTTAAAAATAAACAGAGCAATCTATTGCTTTATTACATGAAATGGTGTTATCTAGCACAAAGATTGAAAAACTAAGGCCCACAGGCCTGGTATTCATTTTTGTAAATGCAGGTTTTTTGGAACACAGCCATGTCCATTTATCTGCATATTGTCTATAGTTATGTTTGCCTAAAATGACAGAATTGAACAACTGCAACAGAGACCATATAACCCACAAAGCCTACAATATTTATTCTCTAGCCACCTAAAGAAAGAGTTTGCTGACTTCTAATCTAACACATGCATAGGTAAGCCAATATTCCCCAAATTTAGAGGTTGAATGCTGTAACTGTCATATTTTCTAAGGGTAAATTATAAATCTATTTTATCTTCAGACAACCAGGCATGAGACTCAACAACTAGAGCCAACATGTACAAAGAAAGAAAAATTATATCTCAGAATGCTTAACATTGGTAGTACAAGCCTCCACCACTTGAGCTGTAAGGTAGGAAACTTCTATTAGACACTGAAGGAGCTATTCATTATCTCTGCAAAAGATCTCTCTTCATACAGTAGAGAGCAAAAGCGTCAGCCATTACACCAAGTCTTTTATACCTTATTCTAATGTAAAATGGCAACAAGACCTGTGCTAGCTAACAGGAGGTCTACAAACTGCCCTTTCATAAAGCTCTGTCATTCTCAGGAGGAATGAGTCCAGAGAAACGAGAATGTGGGGACAGTCTTCAGTTAGCCTACTTTTTGCTTTCAGGTCTTGCTTTGATCCTGTATTCATCCCACGATGTGTGTTTGTTAAATTTTTAATTCATTGAGAGTTGTATACAGCACCATTAAAACAATCTTTTCACATTTAGTCGTCCTGCAATTAATGACGTCACCACTTGAAAAACTGGCTTCATTAACTTTAATTTTCCATTTGCTTTTCTGTCACTGATTGTTTGAAATATAACCACTCATTATTTCCATTCTCTTTCATCCACTGTTTTAGACTTTATTATTCGGCATTTTTCAGATATATTTTTATCCTAATGGCCACCGAATTGTCTACTTAACAGTTGTTGACAAACACAGTTGTTCTTCCTAAAAAGTAATCTTCCCTTTATTAGGCATCTATGTTTCCAGTGAGAGCATAAAAGTTGCAAAAATATGATATTGATATTTTCAATATGTAACAGTCTGCCTTGGTTAAAGATCTAATCTCTATGTTTCTTTGACCTTATAACCTTTTACCTCAACTTTCAGTCTGTGTTCCATTTAAAAATGTAAATATTATTAGTGCGTATAGGAAAGATCACCTCTGTTTGAAAATTGCATATAAATAACTCCGGAGGACTGGAAAGGGGCCTAGGCTAGAATCACTGCATAAGGATTAGGTCTGTATTACATTAACTACAGAAAGAGAAAATTTCATACATTAACATGGAAAGAGCTAGTGAGGTGGCTTGAGCTGAAATTATAAACAACACAGATGTGGGCCAGTAAATGACACTCATGTTGAAAGCTCTTTTCTCCACTGTTGTCTGTCTGAATTTTAAGTATTGTACTAGTTATTAACTATCAATACAATCAGGTAATTAAAACAAAATGAAGGTTTTGCTTATGCTCCAGAAAACTGAGAAATCTAATAATTCAAGTCTAGGGGTCTAATTTCCATCCTGTTACATATCTCCTGAAATGACCAAAGGAATATAAAAATAGACATTCATATGCATCAGTTAAAGGACCAGAGGAGGGTTATTATTTCCATTGTCAGAAATAGCAAAGTATTTCTGCTAGATTTAGTGCAGATGAAATGACAAGGCACCGAAGGCTGGTTCGAAATGTCCCTCTGGAGTAAGTGGTTCAGACTCTCAGGAAGTAATCAGAGGACAGTCTGCCAGACCACTGACACCTTTATAATTGGAAGGATGAACATGGGAGGCAAGGAGATTCTATGGGGCAAATGGAGAGTTTAAATTTGGTATTACTTCTACTGCTGTGGATAAGGAGCATTTGTAAATAGTTGGTTGGGGGACACCCCAGCATTTCCTTATTTTCCCAGTAGAAATAATAAAAATAGTCATATTTATAGAGAGTTTATTATGTGCCAGTTACTTTTTTAAATGCTTAACATGAATTGTCACACTTAATGCTCCTATTGACCCTGGATATAGGTACAGTTATTAAATGAATATTATAGGTAAGTAAATTAAGGTATAGAAAGTTTAAGTAACTTGTCCAAGGTCAGATAATGAGTAAAGGAACTAAGATTTACACTCTGGCAGCCTGACTTGAGATGACACCCTCAAATGCTATTTTATATGACCTCCTAGAAAGTCAGTGGTGTCACTAGTTCTCCTAGCTTCTTGACAATACATGAGGAATTCAACTGGGTATGGCATGTCTGCTTTTTGCCAGATATAGCAAACAAAATACAGGATGCCCAGTTACATTTGAATTTCAAATAAACAATGAAAGCTTTTTTAAAAAACTGTCATTGCATTGTCCTGCGCAATATTAGGCACATACTTAAACTAAACATGTATTCGTCATTCGTCTGAAATTAAAGTTTAACCAGGCATTCTGTATTGTATCTGCCCGCCCTAAGAATGGCTCCTTAATGACAAGAAGGCAGCCAAACCAGAAGGAGGCATAGGAGCAGCCTCACAGCAAACCAGGCCTTGAGGCTGGGTAGAAGAGACCTGGCCACTGTATTATGGTGCTCAGCTTTGCCAAATACAGAAGAAACTGCACAAAGAACTACTTTCTATGCTGGGAAAGTTCTGTGTTTAAGCCTGCCCGTTGCTTCTCTCCAAAAGTTGGGTTTTTACATTGCTAATGTAAATTTGCATGTACCAGCCCTCCATCTGAATATCTCACAGCACAAATTTGGGACCAACTGAAGAAATAATGCTGGGCCCTAAACCGAAAAGCTGTGTTTATGAGCAGACTTCCAGCCTGAATTTCTGTCTCTTCTTTCAAGAATAAATGAACAAATAAAAATTGCAGTGAAGATTGTGAAGAGATTCTGCAATATGAAATAAAACAACTTTTAGGAAGTATCTACTTTTATTGCGTAAAAAATCCAGAGAAAGTAGAGGTAAATGTTTGACAGTTTCCACTTTGGACTATCAAAAATCTAATATAATCCAATACTAATCAATCACCTACTATGAGTGTGACATGCTCTGGTGACATAGACTAAAGCAAAGGTGGTGCCATCAAAGACATTTTTGTAAAAGAAATTATAGTAAAATAAATGAAACAGTGGGTATTGGCAAGTATTGTAGAATGAATGAATGAATAAATAAATAAATAAATCTAAAGGAAGGGAGAAAGAAGAACTCTTGGCCGGGTGCGGTGGCTCACGCCTGTAATACCAGCACTTTGGGAGGCCGAGGCGGGCAGATCACGAGGTCAGGAGATCAAGACCATCTTGGCTGACACAACGAAACCCCGTCTCTACTAAAGGTACAACAACAACAACAAAAATTAGCTGGGCATGGTGGCATGCACCTGTAGTCCCAGGTATTCCGGAGGCTGAGGCAGGAGAATCGCTTGAACCCAGGAAGCGGAGGTTGCAGTGAGCCAAGATTGCGCCACTGCACTCCAGCCTGGGTGACAGAGTGAGACTCCATCTCAAAAAAAAAAAAAAAAAATTAGCCAGGCGTGGTGCCACATGCCTGCAGTCCTAGCTACTCAGGAGGCTGAGGCAGGAGAATCGCTTGAACCCAGGAGGCAGAGATTGCAGTGAGCTGAGATCATGACACTGTACTCCAGCCTGGGCAACAAAGTGGGACTTTATTAAAAAAAAAAAAAAAAAAAAGCAAGACAGGACATAAAAAGAAATGAGTAGATGACTAATGGGATTTTAATCTCTCCCTTTTTAGAGAGAAGATGAAAGAATTTTTATTTGTACATTGAAAGCTATACTATTGCAGAGTATATTTTGTCAATCTTTGCTGTCACATGAAGGTCAAGATCAAAAAGAAGGATGTGTATAAAGTTGAATATCCAAAGTAGAAGATTGAGAAAGACCTGCTTGCTCCATACTCAACATCCATCTAAATTCCTCTCAAGGTGGCTTCTGAAATTGTAGATGGTGGAAAACCACATCTTATTTCCCGACCCTGTCACAACTAAAATTCTGGATATGAATAAAGTCCACTACTAGATAAGCTCCAGTGAGATTTAGGGGATGGAAGTGAAGCAAAAGATTTTTCTATTTCTACTGGAAATCATCGTGAAAAAGTCGTGTGCTTTATTTTCTGCTACATCATTAGCAGAGGTCCTAGTTCCTGGCTACTAGATTCATTGATGTCAAGTAAGAGTGTGTGGCATCTGTTGTGCTGTATAGATTGCAACAGGCATAGCATTGGTTTGAAGCTGGTACCATGGAAAGGAAATTTCCTGATGGTGTTGCCTTACTGATGGATAAGAGTGGTTTCTGGCCAGTAGTAGTGGCAGCAAGATTCTGGAGCCTACAGTACATGATTCTGGAGCCTATAGTAGACCATGTTTCACATCAGATGATGGTTTTTTCATCACAGGGGAAGTATCGTCTCCCTTGGTGACCAAGTTCCACGGTGTGCTTATAGGAGTTATTCCTGAAATCTCAACAATAATTTGTTTCTTCAGAATTTATGGCAGTTTTGTAAGCCATGTACTCTGTAATACATCTATTTCAGCTTATGCTAGCTAGAGTGAATTCTGTTTCCTACAACAAAAATCTAAACATACAAAAGGCCTGACAACAGAGATTGAGATGAGAAGTAAAGAAGCATGAGAACAGGCTGGAAAAGAATGTGTAGAGAAAATCGATCGCAAGGCTAAAAATGAAATTTAAAAATTTAAATTTGCATTAAATGCAGTAAAGATTAGAAATCATATTGCAGAAAGCTAAATAGTGCAGTGATAGACAAACTTAGGAAGCCCTCCAGAAAACAGGAGAAAGACGAATGTTTATTTAAAAAAAAATCAACAACAAAAACAAAACAAAAAACAGTAAAACAGGCCAGGCACAGTGGCTCACGTCTGTAATCCCAGCACTTTGGGAGGCTGAGGCGGGTGGATCACCTGAGGCCAGGAGTTCGAGACAAGCCTGGCCAACATAGTGAAACCCTGTTTCTACTAAAAATACAAAAATTAGCTGGTTATGGTGGTGGGCTACTGTAATCCCAGCTACTTGGGAGACTCAGGTGGGAGAATAGTTTGAGCCTGGGAGGTGGAGGTTGCAGTGAGCTGACATCACGCCATTGCGCTCCAGCCTGGGTGACAAGAGCGAAACTCTGTCTCAAACAAAAACAAAAACAAAACAGCAAAACAATGTGGTAGACAAAGATATCATGGGATATTAAATATGCAGATAATAACTTTTACATAGGAGAAACCAGAATTAAAAAATACAGTAACTATAAATGGGATGATTGGGGCAAACAAAATACAAAAGAAAACTTTATTCAGAAAACTATAGATATGAATGTGGAGAACACCGTCTTCTCTAAAGTTTCAGGTAAAATTTCCTTATGACATGTTGGAATTTAAAGATAAATAAAAAGTACATGAACATCCAGGCCTAAACAAAAACAATCTTGCAAAGGCTAGTTTCATAAAAAGACAGAAGCAAAGACTTTTTGCTGTATAACATCCAGTGACAGAGCATGATGAAATGTGTATAAAACTTTGAGGGAAAATTTTTTATAAGCTAAGAACTATAATGCTAGCCAAATTATATAACATCAATAGTAGGAGCTTGTGACACATAAGAACTCAGAAGCATGCCATCTATAGGGCCTTGCTGAAAGCAGTTATGCAATAACCAGATAATTAAAGTAAATAAATGAAGACTATGGTAGATGTAATATAATCTACATTATTTCCCCTACAGGGGAAACCCTGCTTACAAAATAGAAGTTAAAGTTGAAAGAGAAATTACTTGGTGGCTGGCAAGATGGCTGAATAGGAACAGCTCCGCTCTGCAGCTCCCAGCGAGATCAATGCAGAAGGCAGATGATTTCTGCATTTCCAACTGAGGTACCTGGCTCATCTCATTGGGACTGGTTAGACAGTGGGTGCAGCCTATGGAGAGTGAGCCGAAGCAGGGTGGGGTATCGCCTCACCCAGGAACTCCCTCCCCTAGCCAAGGGAAGTCATGAGGGACTGTGCTGTGAGGAAAGGTGCATTCCAGCCCAGATACTATGCTTTTCCCACAGTCTTTGCAACCCGCATACCAGGAGATTCCTTCAGGTGCCTATGCCATGAAGGCTCTGGGTTTCAAGCACAAAACTGGGAGGCCAATTGGGCAGACACCGAGCTAGCTGCAGGAGTTTTTTTCATACCCCAGTGGTGCCTGGAACACCAGTGAGACAGAATCATTCACTCCCCCGGAAAGGGGGCTGAAGCCAGGGAGGCAATTGGTCTAGCTCAGTGGATCCCACTCCCACAGAGCCCAGCAAGCTAAGATCCATCGGCTTGAAATTCTCGCTGCCAGCACAGCAGTCTGAAGTCGACTTGGAACACTCCAGTTTGCTGGGGGAGGGTCATCCGCCATTACTGAGGCTTGAATAGGCAGTTTTCCCCTCACAGTGTAAACAAAGCCTCCGGGAAATTCAAACAGGGCAGAGGCCACCACAGCTCGGCAAAGCTGCTGTATCCAGACTGCCTCTCTAGGGCAGGACATCTCTAAAAGAAAGGCAGGGGCTTATAGATAAAATTCCCATCTCCCTGGGACAGAGCACTGTGGGAAGGGGCAGCTGTGGGCACAGCTTCAGCAGACTTAAAGGTTCCTTCCTGCTAGGTCTGAAGAGAACAACAGTTCACTTAGCACAGCGCTTGAGCTCTGCTAAGGGATAGACTGCCTCCTCAAGCAGGTCACTAGATCTGTACAGGAGCACCCAGATTCATAAAGTAAGTTCTTAGAGACCTACAAAGACACTTAGACTTCCACACAATAATAGTGGGAGACTTTAACACACCACTGTCAATATTAGACAAATCAACATGACAGAAAATTAACGAGTATATTCAGGACTTGAACTCAGCTCTGGACCGAGCAGACCTAATAGACATCTACAGAAAACTACCAAAATCAACAGAATATACATTCTTCTCAGCACCACATTGCACTTTTTCTAAAATTGACCACATAATTGGAAGTAAAACACGCCTCAGCAAATGCAAAAGAAGAGAAATTATGACAAACAGTGTCTCAGACTACAGTGCAATCAAATTAGAACTCAGGATTAAGAAACTCACTCAAAACCACACAACTACATGAAAACTGAACAGCCTGCTCATGAATGAGTACTGGGTAAATAACGAAATTAAGGCAGAAATAAATAAGTTCTTTGAAACCAATGAGAACAAAGACACAACATATCAGAATCTCTGGGATACAGCCAAAGCAGTGGTTAGAGGGAAATTTATAGCACTAAATGCCCACAGGAGAAAGTGAGAAAGATCTAAAATCGACACCCTAACATCACAATCAAAAGAACTAGAGAAGCAAGAGCAAACACATTCAAAAGCTAGCAGAAGACAAGAAATAACTAAGATCAGAGCAAAGCTGAAGGAGATAGAGACACAAAAAACCCTTCAAAAAATAAATGAATCAAGGAGCTGTTTTTTTGAAAAGATGAATAAAATAGACCACTAGCCAGACTAACAAAGAAGAAAACAGGGAAGAATCAAATAGGCACAATAAAAAATGATAAAGGGGATATCACCACTGATCCCACAGAAATACAAACTACCATCAGAGAATACCATAAACACCGCTATGCAAATAAACTAGAAAATCTAGAAGAAATGGATAAATTCCTGGACACATACACCCTCCCAAGACTAAACCAGGAAGAAGTTGAATCCCTGAATAGACTAATAACAAGTTCTGAAATTGAGGCAGTAATTAATAGCCTACCAACCAAAAAAAGCCCAGAACCAGACAGATTCACAACTGAATTCTACCAGAGGTACAAAGAGGAGCTGATACCATACCTTCTGAAATTATTACAAACAATAGAAAATGAGGGACTCCTCCCTAACTCATTTTATGAGGCCATTATCATCCTGATACCAAAACCTGGCAAAGACACAACACAAAAAGAAAATTTCAGGCCAATATCCCTGATGAACATCAATGAGAAAATCCTGAATAAAATACGGGCAAGCTGAATCCAGGGGCACATCCAAAAGCTTATCCACCACGACTAATTCAGCTTCCTCCTGGGATGCAAGGCTAGTTCAACATATAGAAATCAATAAACATAATCCATCACATAAACAGAACGAATGACAAAAATCACATGATTATCTTAATAGATGCAGAAAAGGGCTTTGATAAAATTCAACACCCCTTTGTGCTAAAAACTCTCAATAAACTAGGTATTGATGGAACGTATCTCAAAACAATAAGAGCTATTCTTGACAAACCCACAGCCAATATCATACTGAATGGGCGAAAGCCGGAAGCATTCCCTTTTGAAAAACGGCACAAGACAAGGATGCCCTTTCTCACCACTCCTATTCAACATAGTATTGGAAGTTCTGGCCAGGGAAATCAGGCAAGAGAGAGAAATAAAGGGTATTCAAATAGGAAGTGAGGAAGTCAAATTGTCTCTGTTTGCAGATGACATGATTGTATATTTAGAAAACCCCATCGTCTCAGCCCAAAATCTCCTAAAGCTGATAAGCAACTTCAGCAAAGTCTCAGGAGAAAAAATCAATGTGCAAAAATCACAAGCATTCCTATACACCAATAATAGACAAACAGAGCCAAATGATGAACCAAATCATTCACAATTGCTACAAAGAGAATAAAATACCTAGGGACACAACTTACAAGGGATGTGAAGGACCTCTTCACGGAGAGCTACAAACCGCTGCTCAGGAAATAGGAGAGGGCGCAAAGACGTGGAATAGCATTCCATGCTCGATAAGAAGAATTACTGTCTTGAAAATGGTCATACTGCCCAAAGTTATTAATGGATTCAACGCTATCCCCACCAAGCTACCACTGACTTTCTTCACAGAATTAGAAATAATTACTTTAAATTTCATATGGAACCAAAAAAGAGCCTGCATAGCCAAGACAATCCTAAGCAAGAAAAACAAAGCTGGAGGCGTCATGCTACCCGGCTTCAAACTACACTACGAGGCTGCGGTAACCAAAACAGCATGGTACTGGTACCAAAACAGATATATAGACCAATGGAACAGAACAGAGGCCTCAGAAATAACACCACACATCTACAACAATCTGATCTTTGACAAACATGACAAAAACAAGCAATGGGGAAAGGATTCCCTATTTAATAAATGGTGATGGGAAAACTGGCTAGCCATATGGAGAACACTGAAACTGGACCCCTTCCTTACACCTTATACAAAAATTAACTCAAGATGGATTAAAGACTTAAATGTAAGACCTAAAACCGTAAAAACCCTAGAAGAAAATGTAGGCAATACCATTCACGACATAGGCCTGGGCAAAGACTTCATGACTAAAACACCAATAGTAATGGCAACAAAAGCCAAAATTGACAAATAGGATCTAATTAAACTGAAGAGCTTCTGCACAGCAAAAAAAAAAACTATCATCAGAGTGAACAGGCAACCTACAAAATTGGAGAGAATTTGTGCAATCTATCCATCTGACAAAGGGCTAATATTCAGAATCTACAAGGAACTTAAACAAATTTATGAGAAAAAAATAACCCCATCAAAAAGTGGGCAAAGGATATGAACAGACACTTCTGAAAAGAAGACATTTATGCAGCCAAGAAACTTGAGGAAAAGCTCATCATCACTGGTCATTAGAGAAATGCAAATCAAAACCACAATGAAATACCATCTTATGCCAGTTAGAATGGCCATCACTAAAAAGTCAGGAAACAACAGATGCTGGAGAGGATGTGGTGAAATAGGAATGCTTTTACACTTCTGGTAGGAGTGTTAATTAGTTCATCCATTGGGGAAGATAGTGTGGTGATTCCTCAAAGATCTCGATCCAGAAATACCATTTGACCCAGCAATCCAATTACTGGGTATATACCAAAGGATTATAAATCATTCAGCTATAAAGACACATACACATATATTTATTGCAGCACTGTTCACAATAGCAAAGACTCGGAACCAACCCAAATGCCCATCAATGATAGTCTGGATAAAGAATATGTGCACATAAACACCATGGAATACTATACAACCATAACAAAATGATGAGTTCATGTCGTTTGCAGGGACATGAATGAAGCTGGAAACCATCATTTTCAGCAAACTAACACAGAAACAGAAAAACACTACATGTTCTTACTCATAAATGGGAGTTGAACAATGAGAACACATGGACACAGGGAGGGGAATATTACACACCTGGTCCTGTCACGGGGTCGAGGGCTAGGGGAGGCATAGCATTAGGAGAAATACCTAATGTAGATGATGGGTTGATGGATGCAGCAAACCACAATGGCACATGTATACCTATGTAACAAAACTGCACGTTCCGCACATGTATCCCAGAACTTAAAGTATTAAAAATAAAGGAATAAAAATTACTCACAAATGCATCTTGAAAGTAAAGATAAATAATGGGAAAAATAATACCTTAATTTTAATAAATTTGGTTTGTACATATCCATAGAGTATTTGTTATTATGTATTAAGACAAAGGTTTTTCAACATGTTCCAAGACACACACTTTATTTGAATACACTGCCATTCATTTACAACTACTTTCACATAAAAAAGGGAGAAAAACACTCCCAAATAAATTTTTGTACAGAGAGAAAATTGAAACTTCAATTACATAATATTCAGAAAAAATAGAAAAGACAACACTTCAAACTAAAACATATGTGGCTAATAATATAAGTAGAAGCAAAGTCATCACTTTAAAGGCTTTCATTATTCAGCAAGTGAAATAAAATACATAAACTGAGCATTTTTTTCCCAGAGGTTATGTTAGATAAAAAGAACGTTAAAGAAAACAGAAGGTTTGAGTTAAAAAGCATAAAAGCAAAAATTACAAATTAACAAATGAAAAAACAGTGGAATTGATATCTACAAGTTGGCTCTAAAAATAATACACACACACATATATATGCATATAATATGTTTATTTTAATCAAAAAAGACACAATGGGATATTAGGAATATATAAACTACAAATCTAGAGATTGGAAAAGTAAAAACCTAAAATAATCCAAAGCATAATTCCATTCTGACAAATGTTGGAATTTCTAAATGAATGATTTCCAAGAAAAGAAGCCTAAAAATTTAATGCAAAAATTTGAGAAAATAAATAACTATATGAAAATATTTTTGTGGTACTTATACAATATTGAATATGATGCAACTGTGAAAAAGAACAAAATCGTGTCCTTTACAACAACATAGATGCAACTGGAGGCCATTGTCCTGGGAAATTAATGCAGAAACTGAAAACCAAATACTATATGTTCTCACTTATAAGTGGGAGCTAAGCTTTGGGTACTCATAGACATAAAGATGGAAACAACAGACAGTGGGGACTACTAGATGAGGGAGAGTGGGAGACAGCTAAGGGTTGAAAAACTATTTGGTACTGTGCTCCTTACCTGAATGATGAGATAATTTGCATCTCAAACCTCAGTATCATACACTGTACCCATGTAACAAACCTGCACATGTACTCCCTGAATCTAAAGTAAAAGTTGAAATTATATGTTAAAAAACTAAACTTTAAATATATTGACATATAATTGCATGGCTGAATTTTCTCTAAGTTTCAGGGGTTTGAAAACAAATTTCAAAACTGCGTTAATTATTCCACCAAATGCTGTAAGATAGAAACAGACCAATTAATTTTACCAATTGAACATACTCATGATATCAAAACCTGAGAAACTACATCTAACACAAACTATGGGCTAATTTAATTTATAAATAGAAATCCATAAATTCTAATAGAATGAAGCAGTGTATTATCAAATATTTTAAATCAGTTTCATCAGGTTTTATCAAATAGTGTTTAACGATAAAAGTGTATCAATTATTATGTTTCTACATGTATATGTTTGTATGTAAAAAGATACCTTCTTTTGACCTAAGGATCTTCTGTGATCAAAATGTAAATAATTTATAAAATATGAATAAATATTTTATGTAAAACTTTAAAGGAAACGTCAAAATATAATTTAAAAAACCTTTGCTCTTTAATAAACTATATTTTAATAGATTGGAATAAGTGGAAAGACAAAACATTTCTTAGGTAGAAAGGAACACAGTTGGAAAAATTACAATTTTCTTCAAATAAACTTATTTAATTTAACTTAATTGCAATTAAAGTATCCATTTTCTTTGTATGTGATTCTAACATTTTTGTCAATAAAAACAAGTAAAATATGCAATTTTAAAAATGAAGACTAGTAAAGAGTATAAATACTCATATATGATTATAAAATAATATATACAATATATATGAGTATAAAACATCAATACATATTACAGGTAAAATATAAGTGTTTTATAAAACCAAATGTTAAATGGATGGAGAAATAAGCATTGGGATGCACTGAAAATAGGATAGTGAATTTCCCAAAACTTTTGAGGACTATTTGACAGAAATATGTATTTAAAAATCAGATACTTAGCTCAAAAATTATATGCCTAGAAATTTTCTCAATAGTTATACTTATATAATTATGACAATATATGTATATACAAAGTTGATCATGCAGCAAACCACCATGGCACACGTTTACTTATGTAACACTCCTGTATATTCTGCACATGTACCCTGGAACTTAAAAAATAAAAAATAAAAATAAATCTTAAAAAGTTGATCATTACTGTATTAATTGCAATGAAAAAATTGTAAGGAAATAGGTAATATAAACTAAATATATAATAAGTAAAATTAAAGGGAAATAAGTAATCTAAAATCTATTTGTAGAGACTTATTTAAATAAGTTTCAATTTATTCATACAAAGGAATATAATGCAGCCATTTTAAAACTGAAGCTGAACTATCAGTCCTCATAAAATAAAATCTTGGATATATATTTTGAAGCTGAAGAAAGCAAAGTTGAGAACAATATTTTAGTGTGATTTCACATGTTAAACAATGATATATATCTATTATTTTGAGACATAGGGATGAAAGTTTATTAGAATGAGAGTCAAGCTCCTCTAAGTCCTTAGTACTTATTCCTCTTGTGTGCGGGGTATTATGGAAGCTACTGTCTGATATTTCCAGCATGTGTCTCTATTGCATTTATTTTAAAAGTTTTTATTTATTTTTAATTTTATTTTTGTTGAGACAGTGTCTCCGTTGCCCAGGCTGGAGTGCAGCGGTGCAAACACAGCTCACTGCAGCTTCGACTTTCCAGGCACAAGCCACCTTCCCACCTCAGTCTCCAAAGTGCTGGAATTACAGGCATGAGCCACTATACCCTGGTAAAAGTTTCTGAAGAGCATATTTAAATAAACAAGTATTATAAAACTACGATTTTAAAAATAGTGTTTCCTTTGTATATGAATAAACAGAGATTAATGCACAAACTAGAACATCCAGACACAAATGGCTTCTATGGTAATCAGGAACAGGTGTTTTCAAATATATGCCATAGCAAGGTTTTCTGGAGTGCAATTTAGCCGAATTACCCTACAAATGTAAATACATGTTTACTTAGTAAAGTTACTTCTGGAAATAAAACTTAATAAATGAAGAAATAGATATTTGTACAATATTTCTATAGCTAAATATTCATTTCAACATTACAAACTGAAAAATAAAAACAACTTAAATGTAAAATAATTAATTAAATAAGTTATAGAACGTAGCCATAATATATTATGTGAATCACAAAGTCAAGAGATCAAGACCACCCTGACCAACATGGTGAAACCCCATCTTTACTAAAAATACAAAAAATGAGCCGGGCGTGGTGGCGGGTGCCTGTAGTCCCAGCTACTCGGGAGGCTGAGGCAGGAGAATCACTTGACCCAGGAGGCGGAGGTTGCAGTGAGCCAAGATTGTGCCACTGCATTCCAGCCTGGTGACAGAGCGAGACTCTGTCTCAAAAATAAAATAATAATAATAATAGTATTAGAAAGCACTTTCAATCTATTATTTTTAATAGCCTTCTTGTTATATAATTCATATAACATAGCATTTACCCATATATAGTGTATAATTCAATGAGTTTTACTATATTTACAGAGTAGTGCAACCATCACCACTACATAATTTACAGTAAGGTACAATTTTTTATTTGAGACCTTGCTTCCTAAATATAGGCATTTACAATTTTAAGTTTCCTTCTAAGCATAACTTTAGCCATATACCATGCTTTAGAATTATGTGCTCTCACTTCATCTAAGTTTTTTCTAGTTCCTTTGTGACTTATTTGACCCATTTTTGTCTCAGGAGTGTGTTGATTAATTTCAACATATTTGTAAAGTTTTAATTTTGTGTGTGTGGTTGATTTTTAATTTAATTCCATTGTGTTGCAAGAACATGGCTCTCATTATTTCAATTCTTTTAAATTTATTGAGGCTTCTGTTATGATCTAACATATGGTTCATCCTGAAGAATGTCTTTTGTGTGCTTGAGAAAAATGTGTATTTTGCTGCTGATCTATAGTGTTGTTCAAGCCTTTTATATTATTTTTGATCTTCTACTTCCTTTTTCTATCCGATATTGAAAGTGGAGTATTGAGGTCTCTGCCTTTTGATGGGATTGTGTAATTCTTTCAAAATTAATGTTATTATTGATATGATTATATTTACTTCTAGCATTTTTCTAATGGTTTTCTTTGTGCATCATGTCTTTTGTGTTCCGCTCTTAATACTTTACTACATTTTTTGCATTAATTGAATTTTTGTGTAATATTTTAGTTTCTTGAGCAATTTTCACTATATATAGTTACTTTCTTAGTGGTTTTTCTAAGATTTCCAACATACACTTAAGTTACAAGAATTTTCTTCATATTTATACTAACAATTCCAACGTAATATAGAAATTTACTCCTTTATAGCTCTATCCCTTTTCCTTTTTGTGTTATTATTATATATTTTACATTTATGTATTTTGCAAACAAAAAATTTACGCATTTATTACTTTATGTAATTTTTGATCTATTAAAATGTGGAGAGAAGAAAGGAGATAAAGTACATACTTACAGAGCTGGGTATATTAGCTTTTAGGTTCTCTTTATTTTTCCTGTGAACTCATTATAATCTGACATCGTTTTCTTATTCCAACACAGTTTTGTCCCTACTAATTTTTTCATGATGTTATTGTCAAATGTGCTTGATTTCTATATGTTTTAGCCCCAATGGTAAAATTATATACAAATTGTTTTATGTAGTTTTCAAATAAGCTAAAAGAAGACATGCACTTATACTATATTTTAAAATTAGCAAAATATTTGCCTTCACTGATGTTCCTTTTTTTTTTTTTTGCCTGTGGACCTAATATAGTATTAAATGAAAAGCACATTGTTAAGTGAGGATTATCACAGTGAATAGCATACATCTCATTTTTTATTTGTAAATAAAATTATTTGGGATAAAATATGGCAAAATATCCACTGTGATTTAGATTTGTTTCAATTTCAATATTTTTCTCATTATCTTCACTTATTATTTTATTTGTACCAATTTCTGTAAAAGGAATATATGTTATTTTGTAATAATAAAACTTTGCTTTAAAATACATACATATTCTTCTAAGGGGGCACATTCTTTGTTTTTTTTCTACATTTTCTGTAAATATTCCATCCTATCCACTTAATTTCAGGAGGCTTGGTGAAAGCTACAATATCTCTAGACCATCGTGGAATGTCTATGGAATATCACAGACACTTATCATTTATAATCATCCCAGCCAAAGGATTTACTTTACTCAAAGAAGAGTGTTGCATCTTGCCAAGAAGAAAAAGTTGATTCTATATATAGAAAGTCACATAGTCTCTGCCCAAACGGTCTTAGGTCTGCTGAACAACTTCAGCAAAGTTTCAGGGTAGAAAATCAATGTACACAAATGAGTTGCATTTCTATACGCCAATAACAACTTGGCTGAGAGTCAAATCGAGAATGTAATTTCATTCACAATAGCCACAAAATAAATAAAATACCTATTAATACAGCTAACTAGGGAAAAGAAAGTACTCTACAATGAAAATTACAAAACATTGCTGGAAGAAATAAGAGATGACACAAACAAAAGGAAAAATATTCCATGCTCATGGGTAGGAAAAATCAATATTGTTAAAATGCCCATACTGCCCAAAGCAATTTACAGATTCAATGCTATTTCTATCAAACTACCAATGACATTTTTCACAGTATCAGAAAAAAAAATTCTAAAATTTATTTGGAACCAGCAAAGAGCCAAAATAGGCAAAGCAACCCTAAGCAAAAAGAACAAAGTTGGAAACATCATACTACACAATTTCAAACTATACTACAAGGCTACAGTAACTAAAACAGCATTGTATGGTACAAAAATAGACATATAGACCAATGGAAAATGTTAGAGAACCCAGAAATAAAGCTGCACACATACTACCATCTGATCTTTGACAAAGCTGACAATAACAAGCAATGGGGAAAGGACTCCCTATTCACATGCAGAAGATTAAAACTGGACCCTTACCTTTCACCATATACAAAAATCAACTCAAAATGGATTAAAGACTTAAATGTAAAACCTAAAACTGTAAAAACCCTGGAAGAAAATCTAGGAAATACCTTTCTGGACATTGGCCCTGGCAAAGACTTTATGACAATAACTCCAAAAGCAATTGTAACAAAAACAAAAATTTACAAGTGAGACCTAATTAAACTAAAGAGCTTCTGCACAGCAAAGGAAACTATCAACAGAGTAAACAGACAACCTACAGAATGAGAGAAAACATTTGCCAACTATGCTTCCGACAAAGGTCTAATACACAGAATCTATAAGGAGCTTAAATCAACAAACAAAAATTAAACAACCCCATTTAAAAATGGGCAAAGAACATGAACAGACAATTCTCAAAAGAAGACATACATGTGGCCAACAAGCATATATAAAAATCCTCAATATCACTAATCAATAGGGAAATGCAAATCAAAACCACAATTAGATACTATCTCACACCAATTAGAAAGGCTATTACTAAAAATGAAAAAAAAAATAACAGATGCTGGCAAGGTTGCAGAGAAAAAGGAATGCTTATACACTGCTGATGGGAATGTCAATTAGTTCAGCCACAGTGGAAAGCAGTCTGGAGATTTCTCAAAGAACCAAATGGAACTGCTATACAACCCAGCAATCCCATGGCTGGGTATACACCCAAAGGAATATAAATCATTCCACCATGAAGTTACATGTACTCATATGTTCATCACAGCACTATTCACAATACCAAAGACACAGAATCAACTTACATGCCCATCAGTAGTGGACTAGATAAAGAAAATATGATAATATATACCATGAAATACTACACAGCCATAAAAAGGAATGAGGCCATATCCCTTGCAGCAACATGGATGAAGCTGGAGGCCATTATCTTAAGCAAGCTAATGCAGGAACAGAAAACCAAGTACCACATGTTCTCACTTATTAGTGAGAGCTAACCATTGAGTATACATGCACACGAAGAAGGGAACAATAAACACTAGGGCCTACTTGAGGGTGGAGGATGAGGATTGAAAAACTACCTATGAAGTATCATGCTGATTACCTGGATGACAAAATTATTTGTACACCAAACTTCCATGGCACACAATTTACCCATGTAACAAACATGCACATATACCCCTTGAACCTAAAACAAAAGTTGGAAAAAAAAAAAAAGTCCTCCAAAATATGTGAAGATAAGAAAACTATCTAAATTGGGATAATATAGCCTCCTATGTTAGCAGAATTTTGAAAATTTGTTCCTTCTCATTCTTGAATTTTTAGTCATGAAAAGGGCTTATTTATCTAAAACAAAAATTTTAGAAAATGTTAAATATAGAAATGCATCACTTAGAAACAGGGGTACTTTCTGAGAAATGCATCATTAGGTGATTTTGTTGTCGTGCCAGCATCATAGAGTGTATTGTATCACAAACCTAGATGGTGTAGCCTACTTCGTACCTAAACTATATGATGTAGTCTACTGCTCCTAGGTTGCAAATCTTTATAGCATATTACTGTTCTAAATGCTGTAGGTAATTGTAATACAATGGTAAGCATCTGTGTATCTACATATCAAAACCTAGAAACAAGTAAAAATATGGTATTATAATCTTTTAAGACTGCCTTTGTATAGGTCGTCCCCCGTTGACTGAAATGTCACTATTTGGGGCTTGACTCCAGTTGTAACAGTTAAGCTGGCGTTCCCAATGATAAATGCATAAGATGACTCTAAGGAAATGGATCCTAACTACTTCATCATGTCCATCTCAGAGGTTTACTTAGTTCTCTTCATCAGAAGTTAATAGATAATTTCAACAGAACATCTTACCCTAAAAGGGGACAGAAGTATTTGACCTACTCTATGTCAAATTTATTTTTTTTTAGTGACACCTTAGACCTTTACCTTTCATTTAACTTCCTTTCCTTGATGTTTCAATACATTTTACCTGTTTTGTTTTGATGTACTTTAATGGCTTTTGAACAGGTTTCATTTGTGGACGAACTGATTTTAACTCACCATGTTTTAATTCGTTTCTTTAATATATTACTTTAGTTGTCTTTCAACAAAGACAAGTTAATAACAATTAATTGCCTTAATTTATTTCTTCTTATTTTATTATACTTCTTCTTATTATTCAATTTATTCAAAATGAGTCGAATAATATGCTAACCATGATACTTATACCTCAAAGTGAGATTACTGCTAATTAGAGGCTACATATGGTATACCGAGAATGGGGGGACTTTTTAAAATAATTTAAGTATTATACCCAATTATGGGCTCCAATTTTTTAAAAAGTACTTTGGTAGAAGAAAACTCAGATTCTGCATTCAGATTTCAAGGAAAATTAAGCAACTTTACCAAGACAGCAAATGAGATGAAATTAAGCATTTTATTTCTCAAATTATTAATTTAGTAATAGGCACTAACTTCATTGCTCTCTGGTTATTGGCAAAGCCAAGATGTGCATGTTCTCCTTTTGAACATTGTATTAATGAAATTGGAGGTTGTGTGCCGTACGCAATGTATGTTCTGCAACATTTTGAAAGCTTAGCTGGGAATCCCTGTGGTGCTGACTGAAGGGGAAAAAAGAAGCAAAGTCTCCTCCAGTTTTTGAAAACCAGAAGTATTTTTTCAGAAGTCATGTGTGAAATAAATTGCTTATGAGAAAATGACTGTAATGCTGCCTCAGTTTTCGGTGATGGATCTGTTTAAAACATTCTGACATAAAAAATAAATCAGCTTTAACTTCAATTATTAAGAGCTAAAGTAGCATTCTTTGATAGAAAGGGGTGGGTTTCTGGCATTTCAATGATAAATATGTATGAAAATAGTTGTGTCACCATGGAAACCAAGCCCTCACCATTTTTTTTTATTTTTTTAGACAAGGCAAATAGTATAATAGAAACTTGGGATATCTAAAAACAAATTGATGAAGACCAACCACTGTTAGAGTGTTTGGTATTCTTAAGTTTTTAAATTTCTTGGTTTTTAGCATTCATTTTACGTTCTGAAGAATATGTTCAGATTTTCTTCAAGTCATTTTTGAGATTTCAAGCATGTTAATGAATATTTTTAAATAAGCATTGATGCAATATAGTTGCATTAGTAACTAGTGTCTGTTTGAAACTTTGAATAGCATCACTCTGAAGAAATCAAATAGATATTTTTTTCAGAGTAACACAAACTCTCTTATGGGCATTTAGGCAAATATCTTTTATTTTTCTCCTTTAGTTTTTGTTTCCTATGAGTAAATTCTGGATAAGAGTCAATGAAGATTGTATCTGAATGCAGTGATGTTTTTACTGTGACAAATTTTACAAATACTTTCTGGAGTTTCTGATATAGCATATCCCCTGGCTGTTTTAGATGGGAACACCTCTTGCTAGGAGCCAATGCATTTCATATTGCCTGCTTCCCTAAAACCACAAAACTTAATCATTTTAATGACTTAATTTTAAAGATATGTATATTTAAATGAAGGCTATAGCATGCAATTCGAATATACTTTCTTACATAAGAGGCAGTGTTAGTGAGAGAAAAGAGCCCTGGCCCAAGATATCCAAATCTCTTATCCTTGTTCCATTTTTTTTTTTTTAGTAGCAATTTGGCCTTGGAAAAACCTTTTCATCTCTCTGAGCCATGCTTTTCATGTTTATAAAATGGAACTCATTATATATGTACATGTCCAGGATTATTTTGAGAATTGTAGTTTATTTGAAAAAAAACTTTTAAATATCAAAAATCATATTCTAAATATAAGGTGAAATAAGTTTTATTACAGCTACAAAAACCACCTAGTTTAAATTTTGCATAATACTAATACATGATGACATTAGTTTATAACTCACAAAGTACACCTAAGTGGGCTTATGCAACACCAAAATATTTGGTTCAAATGTAAAATTTTACATAAAACATATTTTAAAATAAAATCTCACCTGCTTACTTGTTTTATATTGATTTTGTTCAGCCATCAGAGTTATTAGGGGTTATGGAGTTATCATTGCACTGTTCAGTATACATCCTCAAACTGAAAACTCATTGAGTTAAACTCTTACCACAAGAGAGTGATTTACCTGATTGATAAGAATGCTATTTCAATGAGCAATGAAAAATATTTGATATAACTGGACATTGAATTTATTTAAACACATAAGTGAAATGTGTATCAGTAATAAAGAACAACAAAAAATATTCCAATCTTATAGAACATGGCTCTATCAATGTGTGTTATCTGAAGAGGTTCCTACTTCTTTCACAACATTCCCCCCATCCTATAGTTCGGGGCTGCTGCACACACGGTAATTATAATTGGTGCCACACACAGTATCTGGTGTCCTGCCTGGTGTTGCTTTGTAAAAGTTTCCTAACTTCTCATATAAGGGTGTAAATCTTCTCCAACTTTAAGTGAACCTTTAGAGTTGGAGAAGGATTCACTTAACCCACAGTTCACAGGAACACTTACATACTGAGAGAGGCATTAAAACAGCGCCAAATAATACATTGTTTACCCTAGTATAGAAACTGGTTTATTTCTGCATAAAGAATTTCTTTCTCAGTAGTTTTAAAGAGTTTTTACATACGAAACAAAATTATAAAATACATGGTTTCATATCTTTCTCATGTAAAAATGATAAAGAACATTTAATATTGAAATATTTTGAAAACTTTTTCTTTCCTACACCGCATTCAAAATAATTCTCTTAGTTTCACGGTACTAAGTCTAACTGAGCACTTGAAAAACCTCAGCATTTTAACATGGTTAGGAGGGCTAATTAGGTCTGATTGATTCACAGTCTCAGTCACCATTAAAAAATACTTCTGGAATAGGCTCCGACAAGAAATACGCCCATCTCCAAATGGGATAACTAATCTTATATTACTGATTTTTCAGATAGTCATATTTATTTCAATGGGGGAGAAAATAGTAATTTCCTTTTATTGGACAGATTTATATGTTTTTAAGTTCTGTACCTCTTTAGGTAAGTCACAATATTTCTACTTTCATAGCTATGCTCATATACTTTCTGGAAAATGGACACATTTATTTTCAAAATAAATTTTCCTTTATGCTTCCTCAGATTGGTTCCTATTGTAAGTAAAGCTATATATTATTGGAGATACTTAAAAACAAGAACTGATAGGATAATTTTTCTCTTGAATGAACATATTCAATTATAAAAAGTTACATGTATGACCATTACTTATACATTTAAGTATTGTGTCTTATTTATTATAAAAATTTAAACCTCAGCCACTTTAAATGGCAAACAACAAGGAACTGCTTGTGCACGTTCATTTATTTTTACTATAACAGACTAGAATATTATGGTCAATGTATACACAAAAGTAAACATTTAGATAAAATAAAAACAAATCGAAATCATCCTCAAATCTAGATTATTTCCTACACAATGACTAAAATCCTAAACTTTATAATTATCCAGACATTGTTAGTAATAGCATCAAATGTCTTCCAGATATAGCAGCCTCTTAGTAGTTTCCTGCAAAGAGTAACACTATATAATACTGCCACCCTACCTCAATAAGTTAATTTTCTACTAGGCAGTAAAGAGATCTAGTTATGCATTTTCCCCCCACAAATACAGATTTTAAGGCTTTTTTGAAAAGTCACACACAAATCCTTGAATTCTTGTGAGGAAAAAAACCACTAGCAGTTCTTATCAAATTTCATTAATGCCATATTTTCAAGCTAAGTTTCAATGATTATTTCTTACAATAATTTTTGTAGCATTAATTTGTTTGATAAAACATATTAGGTTTTTACAGATTCAAATGTCAGAAGGTAAGAAAAGGCTAACAGCCAAGATAAGTTTAAAGAACTTCATAAACACCTGTTTACTGACTTTTTAAAATATGATTACAACTAAAATAGTATGGGACTTATAAAATAGCAAGCCCTTTTAAAAAAGAAACAGTTTTAAATATGACATTTAAGCTTTTCTTAAAAACCCCTCAATTACATATAGTAAATAACCAATAATCCCTTTTGCCATGAAATGCTCTCATCCCCACCTCCATCTATTTAGTTGTATTCTGTGCCTGCACAATTTATCACAGGAAGTGAAAGAGATGAGTGACTCAATGAAAATCTATCACAACTAAGAAGAAAAGAAGCTCAAAATATACTACAATGCTTTGGTACCTAAGTATGTCAGATACCTTTAGAAAATAGCAGAAAAAAAGATACCTTTAGAGAATAATAGAAGAAAAAGGTGACTCAAACTCTAAGTATGAAATTATTACCTATTTATCTGTTATTAATGATTTCTTTCAAAGTTGCATTTTTAAAATACCATACTATTTATAATTAGTATTGTTTAAGAAACAGAGGATTAAATTACTCAAATGGAGATTTAGATTTTTATACTGTATTTATTTGAAGGAAAACTCTGCCCACAAATGTACACAAATTGAGATGAAAGCCAGGCTAAAAATAGAGCTAGATAATCCATGGTGTGAATCAAGGGGCAAGGGGTAGATAAAATTTTTCTAAAGTGTCTATGATCCATCTTTGCCCATTTTATTTAAGAGGTGAATGGCCGTTAAAATGCTCTGAGAGCAGGGCAGAAAGAGAGAGTGGGGTGGGGGAATAATTGTATGAAGAGAGAAAGCATAAGAACTCATCAAGTCTGAAGTCTTAAGAAGGGTATTCAAGAGGAAGCTGAGGTCCTTAAAAATAAATTTTGCTTATTTGAAGCTCTTCTGAGGTTTGATTGTCTCCTACCTTCTCTTCAAGAATGCATCTACGGGCTTCTTGAGATCAGAATGACATTGCACATGTTGATTTACTTTAACATACTTCGTTTACATCAACAAACATATAATACACAACCACAGTCATTCTTTTGTACCTATTCACATGAGTAAGTTATCAACCAATCATGTTTTGGTATATTTGTACTGAGAATTAGAAAACACAAGATGAATCAAGAAGAGATTTTTCTGATGCCAGATCCCCTGGGAATCAGGAGTAGAGGATCAGTATCAACATTAATACAAATGAGCAATTTTAATGAAAATTTTAAAACAAGAATTGGGCTATAAAACTGTTATGATGATTCAGTAATAATTATTGAACACAATGCTCACAGTTTTTCTTTTGATTTAATTTTTAAAATATTTGTGTATTTGAGATCAGTGTGTTCTTTTGCATTTTTTTTTGCAGACATCTTTTTCTTTATGAAACTTTTCAGAACACAAAATGCAGCTTGTAAATAATTTTGGTTTGGCAAGGTCTCATATGCACTAACAGGTTACATACTGTTCTGATTAGACACGCTGAACATGCTACTCAATATGTAGATGTGTTTCAACTCACACTGACAGCTGATGTATAATTTACTATGCTGACTGCTCAAGGCATTTGTACTAGTTCAATTTTCATATTTATTTATGCCAAAATTTTGTTGTAAACAAAGCAATTTAAATGATGTATCAGATGGCTACTGACAAAGAGTTTTTAAAAATCTGTTGACATGTACTTTAAAGGAAAAAACTCACATAAATATGTCAAAATTTTATGAAAATAAAGGAGGTCTTTTTAAAAGTAAAATAAAGTCAGTGGCATTCTACGATATGTTTTCTGTACCATTTAAGTTATCTACCAAACTGAAAGAAGTGTCAACAAGATAGTGCAAACATTTTCTTCAGAAAAATAATCTTTGTCCGTTAAGAAAAAGTCCTTTCAAGAATGAAAAGCCAAATTTTTCAGTTTACAAGTGAGAGCTATGGTCTAAGTACCCGTTGCGCTTCCATGGACAAACTTCTAAATATCTAACCTGTGAACAGTCATTGTATAAGCAGGATGAAGTGCTATTTTACCTTAACGACCAACTGTAAGTCACTCCATTAAGGGATACACTTGTTAAAAGCTTAATGGTCAGAGAAAAAAACATGCAAATTTTCAAAAGGAAGGCAAAAACCCGTATCTGGGTTTGTCTTTTAAATTGCATCCATACCCTTACTGGCCACACAGGAAGAGACTGAGCTTTTGCCTAGGCAATAACTCAAATCTTTTCAGTGTAGGGAGAACCATTGTTGATCCATATCTTATTGGCATTTTTATTTCTGATCAGGGATTACTACAATTTATAATTTAATATTGGGAGGGGATACCTGAATAGATCTACTCCCCTCCCATGGTGGACAGTACACGCACACACACACACACACGTGTGTGTGTGTGTATATATATATATATGTATATATAAAGAAGCACACACTTCAAAAATCACTAAGACGTATTTACATTGTCTTCCAAGTGGTTTTCATTGACCTCATGAAACTCATCCAGGATTTAAAATGGAAGATGTGAACAAAAGTTAAGCAAATAACTTTCTAAAATGTCACAGGAGAATGAAGGAGAAAGGAATTTAAAAAATGATTAAAAGATAGAGGGAGAAGTAATGAAAAAAGAGGAAAGAAATGCAAAAATGTTTTGGAGGGAATTGAAGGTTTTTTTTCTTACTCCAAACCATATTCAAAGTATTCTAATTATTAAAACTACAATGAAATCTAAAATAAACTGTATCAAATCAATTGCATTTCTTATAATTCCCTAGTAACTAACAGAAAAAAACACATAATGTTTACCTAAAGGGTTACTGAGACAAGAAATGTAATGCTATGTTTTAAGGTTTGGAAATTGCTTATAATGGGTTTTTGCCCATGATATGTTCAACATCAGGATGCCAATAATTTGTCTGAATAAAAGCACCTTGATAAACCTACAGAAATGTAGTCATCAACTACCCTGTATATGGAGATATGTAAAAAAAGGACCTCGTAAAGATGCAATATGCTATTCGTTTCAAGAAAAAAGAAAAATGTTCCTTCATTTCTAATTTATCTTGTAGAAAATGTCAACTTCCTTATTTTAATGACAATTTATATTACTATCTCTTTTTTCAAAATTATACTCTGAAATTCACAAGTTTGACTATGAATTAATGTCAACAAATTGTCTTGGAAAGAAAAAAAAGAAAAAGAAAAACTATCACATAGAACCGTTTTTCATTGCTCTAAATTTGCTAATTTCGTTAGTCTAATTGGGTGTTATTGATTGGGTCAATCCATCCTCATTAATTAGAAGATGTTGAATTAAATAAAAAAAAAAACTACCGGAAGCCACAAATATTAGTTCCTAAGTTAGAAACAGAAACATTAAGAAAACATATTTTAAGGAGCATAGTGTCCACTGATAGATAAAAAAATAAAAAACTTTCTTGCATTGAATGCCTATTCTAAGACTCCATCTTTCCTAAAGATAGCACTTCTTTTCACATTCCCTTAAAATGAGACAATGAATATTCTGTAAAACATAAATTTTTCCATAAGAAAATAACATTAGCATGTTTTTCACCTTCAAAACATTTAGAATCTACATATCTCCGTGATGTATACACTCTGGATGCAATATTACTAAGCTGCTGTTTGTTTCTTTTTAAACAATTAGGACTTCTTCTCATCTACCAGAATAATACAGTCATTTAGGGGTCCTACAGTAGTCACTTAACCTCTTTGAATAAGTCTCTTCAACTGTAAAATGAAAAAAAATGGTCTCTGAGACTCCTTTTGGAACTAAAATTCCACGAGTCTGTGATGTGTATGCTATCATCTTAGCCATTTGAACTGCCCAAACAGCTCACCTGAATGTGCTTTTATTGAAGCTCCTGTCACTAACACAAAGAACCTAGAACTTTGGAAAAATGTCTGTTCAATTTAGTCACTCCTGGAAAAAAAAATTCTAGTCAATCCCATTATTTGATTTCACTGATTTTTTTTCATTAATTGATCAGTCATTCAGTTAAAATACTTGAAGTTGTTACATGTGTAATCAGCAAATACACTGATATGTCTGAATTGGTGTTGAAAGAAAAACATGTGCTTAACTGCTTAATCAATTACACTTGGAGGAGGAAGTATCAGGTAAATTCTTTGGGTAGCAGAGTAGTTTCAATAATGTCAATAATGCATTGTCTATTTTCTGCTCCCATTATAGTACAGTTTCTGATTCTCAAAACTGTTGTCTGACAGGTCTGTGTTCTCCTGGCCAGGTTGTGGTACATTTTGCAGCTTGTCAAATTTCCTCACTTCCTCGTGCCCTTTTTCATTATACAGTATTGCTCTGTGCTTAGCCACTGTATCCATTCATGCAGACATACTCTACCTTCAGTATAACACTAAAATTGATTTGCTAGGTGTTCCTTTGCTTCTTCACATTTCACATCTTCCCATTGAATTTCTTGTGTCAAGAACACAGCTCTGTCTTTTTACTTCCATCCTCAAACCTGAACACTCTTTGGGTTTTCTGAATATTTTAATAGCTTTGTGACTGATGTCAGTGTTTTTTATTCTGCAGTACTTTGTTCAATGCAATTTTATATTATGTTTTGAGAGTATCCTACATTATTTTCATTTTAGATTCCATCTGTTTAAAAATTATTTAAATTTCCTGGTCTTTTCACAAGAGTTAATGGCAAAAGCCTTTTTTCTTTTCTTTTTTTTTTTGGAAAAAGCAGTTTCTAATTAGTATTTTCTTCAGAAAACACATATTAAAAACAGAAAACTCTATAATATACTATAGATTTGTCCAAAGTTAATAGTCTATTTTCTGTTCAAGGACTAGAACAGGAAATAACAAAACACTAAATAATCCTACACAAATTTTAAAAAATGTGTGTGTGTGTGTGTTTTACTGCAAAAGTGAAAGACATGAATGTAAAATGGTTCAGGCTTACAATTACATGATCTAAGTTGACACTGGATATTAGATGTTCTCGGGAGAGTTCAAAGCCTGACCATTTAATGCTCATTGATAAAGCACATTTATTTTAGCATATTGTTTTAACTGGTCAAATTTTGAGACTTTTGGAAGTGTAGGTGAAAGTTCAAACTTCTTTACTAAAGTGTAGCCATTGTGTAATAAAATATCCAAGATGATTCATTCAGTCAACCTAATATCTACTTATCAAGGAGGAGAACAAGCTAAGGAGGTATTATATCTTTCTCTAGCATAACATGTTAAGTGCGGCATTCCAATGTAAAAGGTAGAATTGTTCCTTTGAGTAAAATAATTAATGAGCCCAACAAAAGGAAAGCTGTTACGAGAGAGACCTCTAGTGGAAAAAAATGTAAGTCCCTTGGAAAGAGGTTTTATTGTTCATGCTTCATCTGAAAAACGGAACTCACAAATGCTATTTAAGGCAGTGTCCTCAAAGCAGAAAACTTAAATTCCTCTCTAATGCTTAGAACATGCTGTTTGTCCAAGCAAATAACGCTTTTCAGAGTGGAGCCAACAAAGTGCTTGAGAGAGATGTAACTCCTTAGATATCAGATTTTGAAAAACAAGTTACAGATATTTAAGAAGAAAGACAAGGTTTGTAAAGGGGGCAGCCAGAATTTGGAGACACTGCATTTTCTAGGCACTTGAGCCCTTTATTTGTTTATGGAAGCGTTACTTAAATTGTAAGTAACTTTTTATGTATAAAATTCTCAAAGCACTTTTCTGTGGAGGGGGTTGTGAGGCCAGGAATAAAAGGACTTTCCACTTTCCCACCAATCATAAATTTAATAATAAAACACATTAATATTAATTCAGAATTATTTATAAGGAAAACAGCAAAAAAGTCCATGATACGCAGAATAGAGAGGCACCCACGTACAGGTTATTTCAAGAAAACCGTTGCTTCTGGATTATGGAGTATTTCATTTGCCTAACACTCCTTAGAAGATTAGTCCTCTCTTGTTCTCCATACAATTGCATTTAATTCATCTTCTGATGTATAATCTAATGTTAATTGCTTATTAAAAATTTTCTGCCTTAAACAACGTTAATGGTAAATAAGAAAATTAAAAAATGTTTTCTGACTAAAGATCTAGCGCTAAATACCAGAGAAATCTGAGTCTACTCATTGTGTTTTTAGAATAGGTAGTAATATAACTTCTAATTCAAACGACTGTAGTTCAGAGAGACACTGTGACCCAGAGCCACGTGACTTATAAAAGTGCTCCAGGCATAAGGAAGAAAGTGAAAGAAGTTAGTAAGCCAAGCATACAGGGTTAACTCAGCACTGAAATATGGTCACAACTGTTAAGAAATACAGCTTTGGGAACCAGTTACAATAACAATTTCTGAAATTCTATTCTATAATAATGACAAATGTTGCATATACTTCTTTAAAAATTAACCACAATAGAGCTTTAGTGTTTATTATTGTTCAGCTGTATCATCCAAATTTAGGAAAAGAGTATTTTGTAAGGCTGTTTTTATTTTCAGTTTCAGTCCCTAGTTTTCTTATCCATTTTTAATTCTGCCTATTGTATTTGATAACGCTTTCTTCAATTTCTCCTCAGGATTATGAAATGTTGGAGCCTATTTGCAGGGCAGGTTATTCACAGACCTTATATTCCTAATACTAATATATCTCAGTTAATGCTGAAGAGGTTCCATCTTTTCACTCTTCCCAAAGTCTGAGCATCCTATAAAATAGGACATCATTATTCTGAAATAGTGTAGTTCATGAATCTCTTCAAATTTGGGCCTGTGGCTGGCAGCCACTTAAATAAGAATTGGTAATAGGGTGGTGGGAAGGTGGAGAAAGGAGTTAGAGGGTGTCACACAAACTTTGTTTCCCATTTAGAATGGAGCTTTATTCAGAAAAAGTAAAACAGCTTTAAATTTTGGAGGCTTTGGAAAAGATTATTTTGTTTATATTTAAAAATAAATAAAATGGCTAAAAGAATTTTTCCCATGAAAGCGAAGCATAAGGAAACATATTTATCCACCCTCCTTTCTGATTATTTCTTCTTTAAAAGAAATTGAGTCACATTCCTAGGTCTCCATGTGTTCTTTAAGTGAAACTGCACATTTCCGTTTATAACTATCTCCCCTAACCCCGTAGAACACTGACTCTGTCAGCATATGCCCCGCCTGAATGGTTTCCTTGCACTCTTTCCCATCCTCACCCTTCTTGCTCCACAAAAAGTTAATTTTCATAAACACCTAGGGATGTGAGATTAAAGGTAAAAACAAAGTCTTCAGAGTTTTCCAGAATTCTCAGTGGGGGAAGAAAAGTCACAGTTTGGTTTGGCCAAGGGACTGAAATGCAAATGGCTCCCCACTCTCCACATTGTGCCATATTTGAGGGCTTCATTCACACACACACACAGACACACACACATGTGTGTGAAAGAAAAGAACTCTGCAAGTAGAATTTCATTCTTATTTTAGGTGAGTTGCAGACATCTGTCTTAATTATTAATATTTATATGCTTACTGTTGACTTTCATGTTTCTCTTTTGAGAGCAAATCACTGGGGAAGAAAGAAAGTTAGAAGAAAGAGAATCAGAATTCTGCAAAAAATATGTGAATTATTTTTACTTTTGTTTTCCACTTTGGAGCTACTGTTTTTGCACATCCTCTTATGGTTTGCAACACATTAGTTCAAAATTTATAATTCCCCTATCCTTCAATGCCATCCTCACCCTTATTCCCATTCCGACAGCGATGAACCACCAAGTGCTAGCACAAAGAAGCATTCCAATGAAAAACAAACATAAACCATTGAAGTGGCACTCAAATGACCTGAGTTCTCATCTCTGCAATGCTGGATAGTTGGCTCTGATCTGCCAGTAAATAGGTCATCTTAGTAGGTCCCCAGCTTTTCTGTGCTTTAGTTTCTCTGTCTGTAACATGAAGACACCAATATTTCCCCTATCCAAATTTTGATGTCAAGATAAAATACTTTGAAGAAAATACAAATACAAAGTAACATCATGCATCTGAAAATGAAGACAGCAGCTGTGGGATACTGTTTTAAAAATTCCTCTGCCTAATAGATTTGATAGTTATACTTGAAATTCCTCTACCTTAGATTCTGTGTCTGTTGCTTTGGGATCCTTCTGTAGTCACACAAATGACTAACACTGAATTGTGAGTTAGACTAAGCAGAACTTTCAACTGACCTATTTGTGTTTTTTTCCCTTCAACAGTAATGTATCTGTGGCCAATGTTCATAACTTCCTGCAGGTAAGTGGTTTTGTGTTCCAGATGCAATTACACCAAGAGGGGCTCAGATTTCTAACTCCCGACTGTTCTAGGCTTTTTATCCTCAAAGAATTTCAGAGTGAAGAAGGTCCTATGAGGTCATCTGGTCCATTCATACAACAGTAATTATTTAAGCAACTACTAAGTAAGCATAGCTTTCTCTGGTTTTCATCAAGAACATTTCTGGGAGGAGAACACTTCCTGAGATGTAAGTTTTTATAACCACATCTTAATCAATTTAAGATTTTTCACAACAGTTAAACATTAGTCTCACTTTTCTTTTCTCCTGAGAAATCACAAAGATCAGTCGATAAGGGGTTTATGGAAGGTCATTGTTTTGATATCAACTGTATAGAAATAGGAAACTGAGGTTGTTCACCTATCCTCCCTAAAATAAAATATACATAATATGGACTTACTCTCCTTACTAAGATATGTTATTTAAAAAGCATCTTCTAACTCTAAAAACCCTCATTTTTTTTCATATGGCAAAATTCACAGCAATTTAACATATATTAGTGTGAGCTTGAATTTGTGTCCGCGTAGTTATGCATATGTTTGCACACAGAAAAGAAGGAATAGAGAAATTACCAGATAGGTGATTAATATAACACTGCTGAAGTTGTGCAGGTGTAATTTCAAATTGTGTTATAACATATTGCCATATATCCATCCCCTCTCCTAGATTATGAGTCTTCTAAGAGCAAAGGTCATATTCTCTATAGCTCTAGTTTCCTGAATTTATTCATTCACACATTCATTCAGCATTTGCTGAACATTTGCTTTGTCCCAGATGTAGTGTTAAGTGTAGGAATTTTTGTACAAAAATGTTTACATGATCCTAGACTTAAGAGAGCTCATGGTCTAATGGAAATAAAATAATATTCTATAATTTTGGCAACTATAGAGCTTGAAAAGCACATTTACTTCCATGATATCCTTTGAACTTTAACAATTGTGTGAGATTGGTATAATTATCCCTATTCTTACAAATGACGAAAGTGAGTTTCACAGAGGTTAATTATGTTGCTTCAGGTCACTCAGCTAATCAATGGCAGACCATGGGCTCCAGCCTTCTTACTCCAAATTCTGTGGGTGCATAATCAACACTACTATGAATCCAACAATACAATGTAAGATCTCTTTTAGTAAAAGCATCTTACATTGTATTGTTGGATTATTAGTTGCCTTACTGCTTTTTCTTCTGATCAAATGAAAATATTTATAAGACATCTCCCTAAACATCTGTGTTAAATCAATTCCATCAGTAAATTACAGGGAATCAAAAGTGAAACTCCTGATCTAACCAGATGAATTGTGAACATAGAGTCTTTCAAAATAAATCAAAATATTCACATACCCTCAAAAATTTAGCACCACAAATCTGATTCAGTCCATTTCAACAGCCAGAGAAACTGCTTTTGTGAATACAGCATTGCATGCAATAGAAGGATACATTAGTACTTGCCCTCATGGTTCCAGTTCAAAGAATTACTGTGCCAGAAGTTGTTTCCTCTGTTAAGGGTCCAAGAAAATCTGATTCTTGTTAGTATCACTTCCTATACACAGAGAAGGTTGGAGAATGCTGCTTTGATTCAACCCAGTCTACACATCGCACTGTGCCTGCCAGGCTGAGTTTGTATTACAAAGAGGAAAAAAGAATAACATATTACTCAAAAAGCTTTTGTGTTGCTATCAGAGGTGGGGTGGTGTTGGGGGTAGGGTGACGATGGGATCCTGTGTGTACTGAAGAAATAGTATAAAGAATTATTTAAGACAATCAGACTACCTGATATGCATGTTAATTAGAGAAAACAATAGGTCGAACCAGGCAAAAATTGTCTGAGGAATTATCAATTAAGGAATCATTTAAACAAAGTGTTAAATTTTAAAAAGTCAACCTGACTGATCTTGTTTGGTAGCACATGTAGAAAGTTCTGTGAATCTCATCTTGACTTTGGGTCTATTTTATTCTCAGGCATAGCTACACTATAAGCAAGGGCATCTGTGACCCATATTTGAATCATAAGCTTCCCCTTCTGCCTATTTCTTTTACATTTTCCCCAAGAAAGGTTTAGGATAAAACCATGTTTAAGTTGATTGAAAATAATGTGACATGGGGATGTTTTAGTATCTCAAGTTGAAGACCAGCAAGCTGGAGATCACAGATCAAGCATAATTCTGCTGCTATGAATGGTGTTTATTAGTGTACTCATTCATTAATTTATTTATCCATTCTAAAAATTTTTATACAACATTTTTCCTGGGGTTATAACAAAGATGAAGCATAGTTTTTTTTTCCTGCAGAAATCCACAGCTTAGTGAGGTAAGAAAGACAAATGAAATTATCTCTTTTAGTAAAAGCATATCAGCTCATATTAAAGATGAGAGTCAAAATGAAGATAACAGAGGTCAAGTATCTGATGAGGGTATAATGGAGAGAAGATTATCATGTCCTAAAAGGGAGAAGCAATACATGGCTCATCTTTATTATGTACAGTGCCTAGAAGAGTTTCTGGTACATGGAAGACAATGAGTGCTGAGTGAATGAATGAATGAGTGAATCAATCAATCAAACATTGTAGGTGAAATTCTCAAAGAATTTAGAAAAGGTCAATTTTCCTGGCTCCTGTGAACAAACAATTGTTAAGCTAATGATGAATGAATAAAATAAACACTACAGGCCTGATGTTCAAAATGTCTAGAAAAGGCCAGTAGCTTGCACATTGCAATCCTACACTGCATTGCTTTTCTTACCCAACCACCTACTCATTTCATAAGATGAACTGAGTGAGAGAAAAGAATAAGTCGACCATGTGACAGGGAAGATATGCCTTGGCTTTCACAGGGGCTTAGTCTGTCCAGTACAATCCACCTAGTCTCAATATAATATTTTGGTTTTATAGGGCTCCTAGTGAGCGCTGAGGTTTTTTACCCACATACTGAAAACATCATCTGTTTTAGTGTTCTGCATGTGACATCACTCTGACATACTGTAAACATGATAGTGCATTTTATGGCAGTGGAAAAATAAGCAAGAATAGGAAATATCTTTCCTCCATGCGTTAGTCAAATATATTTTATGGTTACCTAAACTTAGCAGACATGCGGTTTTCAGAGATGTGTATAAAGGAACTTTCTACTTTGAATAAATTTGTTCTGACGAATATAACTATTCACAGAAAACCTTAGACATTCCTTGAAAATGTATTGTTTCCTGTTTCAAAGATGTATTATATACTTTACCAAAAAAGTCTTTATTATAATTTTAGTTCTAGGCACTAATATTGATACGCTTATGTCTCACTTTCAATTTCTCAGAATGCAAATAAAGTACTTCTATCTGAATGTTTCTATTGATTTTAAGGGTTCTTTCCACCCAAATCTAGCAGTTACAGCCATGAGCACAGTCTCATTTTTATTGACCAACCATCAGGAAGAGAAGAAATGAAAATAAGATGAAAGGAATTAAACTCAAGTAGAAGATACATAAGAAAAAGAGGGAAAGGTAGTAAACAGAACTAAAATATGGAAATTGGATCAGTTTTAAGCTTCCTCTTTAGCATAATGGGTCTCGAAGCTCTTAGCACGATCCTGTTGGTTTCAGAGGCAGGCCAGATACCTGAGGCTTGAAGTGCCACAGGGCAGGTAGGTTACCATGTAGGTTATTCAAAATTAGATTTAAAAAGTAGTATTTAATAATTTCTTATGTATTACTCAATAGCTCAAGCTGCAGCATTCTAGTTTTGCTTCAAATTATTTCCTGACTTCTAATTTTCCTGAAAATATCCTTTTTATATGTACTTCTTAAACACATAGCCCCAACTTATCCTGTGAATGTAAGTCATCTCTGCAATAAAGATTAAGTAGAAAAATTGTTTTTCATTAGGTTTTAATTTGTGATTCACCTTAGATATGTTAACAGAAGAAAATATTTGATTGATTTCTTTTTAAAAGATAAGAAAAAAGCATGTATAAGTTCAATTAGTTTAGTAATCCTTAAGATTCAAAAAATGAGGTTCACATGTTTACGTTTTGTAAAAATACCATGAGAGAAAAAAGTATCCTATTGCCTGCAGGGCGGAGGGGTGGGGAAAGCATAACTGGTTTGCTATCTTTCATCTACCTGACCCAAACAGAGAAATTATGTTCCATGATCTTCATAAAGTAAATTGCTACTTGTAATATTATAAGCATAAGTTTTCCTTTTTTCATTCTATCATTTACTAAGGATGTTTAAAATAATCTTGAGTTACTTTGGCAGCTATTTATCAATGCATTTTATGCCTTTTGTTAGCTATAATCTTAGTCATTTTAGTACATGGAGCCCTAATCTTCAAGTCTGTCAGTCCCATTTTGCATTACAAATCATTTGTAGTTTTATAACTGTCATTTCCAAGGACATCTGGAAAAGATGGATTTATGAAAGGTTACCATGCATTCTAAGAAGGCCAAGAATTAGCATGACTTTGTAAAGGTTCTTATAAATTGAGCAGCAGCCATCACTGGCAATAAGGTGTTTTCTGCTCTTGTCAAGTATCTTTATTTAAATATTAAGGGAGAGATATGACCTTTGGCCTTGGAGATCACTGTGACATGGCAATGGTTCAATCTATTAGCTGTCAATGGAGTGCTATGGTCTGACTCTCTCAAGGCTCCTATTTGTGGACAGTGTTATAATAACCCTTCCATTAGGCATCCCCAAGGCAAATAACCTCAGCTTTAGCAGAGTCAGTTTAAAACTCCTTAGAGTAACATTTAGAGACTATCTGGTTTGTGTCAGTTTAAGATCAACTGCTCTCTGCACAGGTTCAATTCTGTAAATTTTAAGTAGCCATAGTTATTTAAGAATTATTTCCTATATGCCTGCAGGTAAATATTAGACACATAGAATGTAGAAATAACCCTATCTACTTCTTTGACTTTTTTTAACAGCCTTTTTAGGGATTAATTCAATCCAAATGGGCTTGAGATTCTATTTTTTAACATGACTTTTTCTAATCTATGTACATAGCTTTTGTTGATAGAAATTGTGCACGGTTGCTGCAGTGATGTGGTATGAACAGGAGTTAGAGATATCAAATCCCCTCACAGTACACATAAATTATCATAAATGGAATAGACAAGGTAATATTCATTGGAGGAAGCAGGCACACCTCTCTATGTATATACTGAAGTAAGTGATGGTTACAAGACCAAAATTTTTGGTTTTCTCTGTCTCTTCCCCCTGATTTTGTCTGCCTCCTACACTGTTTTACCCCAGGTAAGTCATCTGGTTATGCTCAGATGAAATGTTCACATTTGAATCACAAATGATTGCTCTTATCTCTAACTACTTAGGTTTATTATTAGACTCAGACTTTGGGGGGAAAATCTGAGGTAAAAAGACAGCTTTATGCAGTGAAAAATCAAGGTCAAACTATCCTAAAATGCTTTGAAAAAACCACAATTGTCATTGTAAGTCTAAAACATAACAGTAAAGATGATATTAATACTTTGAATATTTGGTCATGAAATGATTTTACTGTTTCTTCTAAATTCAACTTTTGTGTTTGAATGTCTGACTTTTTTCTTGTTAAAACATAAAATCCAGACTAAATATGAACAAGTTTATTGGTGACTATAGATAGCTTCTCAAATGCAAGTTTCATTGCTTTACATTCTTCGTTAAATACCAACAGACAAATTTATTTAATTTGGGAACTTTATTTTTAAAACTAATGGAAAGTCAACAAATATTTGTAGAGTGCTTACAATGTATACATGACATTGAATTAAATACAAACATCTATAAATATTCTTTCCATGCATACAGTAAATATCCAACAAATTTTTAAAATTAAAGACTAATTTGTAAGAAAACAAAGTATATGTTTAGTACTTGACTTTACTTATTGATGCCAAGTACATTAAAGTGTAAATAATTATTGATTGTATTTTTTGTCCTGCATCAGGTTAACTGCTATAAGGGGGAAAAAAGTAAAATGATATCATGTGCTAAAATCCCAGTGCTCATAAACAACACTTAGCCTTTGATTTACAGTGAAATCACAATTCTCCATTTCTCCTTCCCTCTGTCTCTGACATTGCATGTGAGACTATAGGGCAATACATGCCCTACAACATAATATAGGATGTAATTTAAAGGGTTCTATTGATGCTATAAATCACAAGTAGTTCTGCTGAAGCAGTTTATGAATGGCAGTAAAACACTAAGACTGGATTATACCATTAGAATTATGTACCACATGCATGTATTGTTATTTGTAATTGGGGATAAAGTATTACAAAATAGATATATGGAAATGTCATTTTTCTTGATATTTACAAGCTTCTTTTACTCTTATGTAAGAAGATGTGTTTTGGGATAAAATAAGAAATCCAGGGTTGTAGAATATCTGTCATTCTGGAAAAAGGATTTATGTTCTCTGAGAGTAAACTATAATAGTTAGAGCATATTCTGGCAGTTCATACATTACCCAATCGTTAGAACCACAAAATACTATCTGCATATGGCTACTAGCATATGGGTTATTAATAAAGCTTATTAGTACAAAATTAAAGAGAAATAACACCACAATTACTATGTAGCATGATGCTCTAAAAATAAACTGAAGAGTGTAAAAGGTCAACCAACCTGTTAATGCTCTCTAAAAATATAATAAAAATGAAGTTATTTTTCCATTGAACTGACTGGTTTTTGTAGATACATAGCCATTCTGAAGCTCTGAAATAATATGGACTTAAATATTTCTTTTCTGGTGGGATAAAATGATAATGGTAATTCTTCAACTATTCTGGGCACATATTTGATGATGGAGAGGAATTCCAGTCTTCTGTCTTTTTTAGCTGCATCCTTCTGTTATTATGAGTAAATTGTCTTAGTGGATGTATCTATGTAACCAAACCAGATGGCCCGATTTGATGCCAACACAGTTCTTTCATCTATTATTTTAAATGTTATTTTTTCTCAAAGAAACTAAAATAAAATAACATATAGTGGGATAACACAAGTAATTTCAGAATATTCTAAGTGGGCCTTTGGATTCTTCAGATTAATTTCCCTAAATGAGGTCAATCCTCATCAAATTCTAAAATAGGTTAAGACTTGAGCACCTCCTACCTTTCTGTCTCAGGCAATAACCAGCAATAGCTGTAAACATCCAAGCTTACCCCTAGTTTCCCATGAATAAAATAAGGCATTCCAGAATTATTTATCTGGATTATCACCTGTCAGAGTCGTGTCCTTTCATTTTAGGCTTGTTGCTATTATATTTCCCTTTCCACAGAAACAAATTCATTCTAATCTCATACTTTCAAAAGAAAATAGAATAATTGACTAATAAGCTATCTGCATTTATTTACAAAGGTAGTGATTACATTTGAAATACCATTAGAATTATGTACCACATGCGGGTATTGTGGTATAAAATAATAAATGTAGATATAAAATAATATACAGATTATTTTTAAAGTCCTTTTTCTGGGAATAACTCTAGAATTGATTTATTTAAATATTAAAATGGGTAGAAATAATGTGCTATAACAGTTTAGACATGAGAAAGATGACTTCCAGCTAGAGGTTCTCTAGAAAGCTTCTAAGATGAGGTAAAATTAGCATGCAGAGATACAAAGGATGGCCATCCTGGAGGAGCTTAGTCAAGGCACAAGAGCAGCAAAGTGAGAAATTCTGGGTACGTAAAAGGGAGGAGTATGAGACGTCCATCACTGCAGAAATGTTGGGAAATGCAGTAGCATGTATAGAAGAAAATAATTTTGTATTACAGTCTTGCAGCCAAAAGTAATCAATATTAACATTATTATATCATTCAGTTACAATTTTAAAATAAATAATATTCTGCACTTATGATTATATGTACATATATGTTATATACATATATGTATATGTGAATATATGTATTTACACTACACATTTATAATATAATACACATAGTTGTAAATATATAATACACTTAGTTTTAAAATAATTAATGTTTTTTAAACTATACTTTTTCAAAATAAGAATGATTAATCATTCAAATCTATAAGAAATTTATGTTGTTTCTCATATTTTGCTGCTGTTGGTATAAAGGTTAGAATAATCATACTTTCAAATCCTTGTACCTGGAACTGTTTCCTTAAGAAATATTAAGAGAAATAAAATTAGAGTTAAATGTATTAAGTATTCAAAGTTTTCTGATATATAATGCCATGTAGTTTGAGTATATACAATTTACACTTCCTAAGTAGTGATAAAAGTGCCATCTTAATACCTATTTTCATCCTTCATATATCTTTAAATTTGAGATTTCAACAAGGATAATACATTGTTTAACCTTAATAATGATGTTTTTCCTTTGTATTTCCTTAGGCTCTTCTCTTTCTGCTCTTAGAAGGGCATTCATTTTGCTTATGAGAATGTTAGAATTGCTATCCCAGAAATAGAAAGAGAAAGAAAAGTTTTTATTTAGTTTTCAAATCCAAAATAGTATTTTTTGCAGAAGTAAAAATATTTGGAAAGTTAAGCTTTGTTGAGAGAGAAAGGATCTTTTTCAAAACACTTAAAATATGAAGGGTCAAGTCTAAAGATCAAAGACCATAGTGCAGAGAGAAAGCTTTTCTTTGTATTCATGGGGTTCACTGTGGTTCTGTGAGTTGATATCTTTCATACAATTTAGAAAAATCTTGGCCTTTATTTCTTCACATATTATCTTCCATCAGATTTTGAAAAAACTTGGCCTTCATTTTTTTCAAATATTGTTTTGGTTTCATGATCTTTTCCTCTCCATCTGTGATTTCAATTACAAATATATTAGGCCTTTTTAGAGTGTCACATGTATCTCAAGCATTTTTTCCCTAGGTGTTTTCAACTATTTTTTCCCTATGACTTCAGTTTTAATATTGTCCTACTGGCATGTTCTTAGGCTTGCTAATCCTATATTCTGCTACATAGAGTAAGCCATTTGACCCATTCAACATGTTTTTAAAGTTAGATGTTGCATTTTGCAGTTCTATAAAACTCATTTAATCCTTATTTACAAGCTCTCATTCTTCACTGAAGTTTTCTTATGCATTTTGTTTTTATTTTTCTCTATTTTCTTTAAAATAGGAATCTCAGTTACTCGGAAGCCTTTTTCCACTAAATCTAACGTTAGGGTTATCCCTGAGTTTGCTTTTATTGACTTTATAAAGAATTTCTTGATTGCCAGTAACATTGTTTTTTGCCCCTTTACATATTTGGTGATATGGGAATATATTTCAAATTTATGAAAAATATATTAGAAAAAATCTGGATTCTATTATTTTCCTCTGAAGAGTATGAAATTTTCTTTTGCAAAATGTTAAATTTTTGGAGGGGAACTTGCAGCTGTCAAACATTGCTTTTAGGATTTCTAAAAGTGAATATGATTCAGCTTTACCATTACTCCTACGACAGAACCATCATAACTCTTAGGGCATACTTCTTACTCCTAGGGCTTAGACTTTCTCAACTACAATCCTAAGATATTTACTAAGAACTCTCCACTTTATCTGGACTTGCACTTTAATTTATTTATAATACTCTCTGCTTCTGAAATTTATGCTCAGTTCTCTGGCCTCCTAGCAAATGTGTTATGCTATGCTTCCCAGAGACTTGCTCTGTGCATGTACAGCTTAGGCATCAGCTAAGGGCCCTGAGAGGGATTTTATGCAGATTTTGTAAGTATCTTTATCTGCAGTGTTCTATTCTCTAGTACTATGCTCTCCAAATCCTGGTTGTCAGTCAGCTCCAAATCCCAATCAATGTTTCCGCTTGGCCTCTATTTCCCTAATTTCTTAACGAAGGACTCACCTTTTGGATTTTCTTCTCAAAAATTGTAACCCTATCTTGGAAGCTTATCAATGCTCCAAACCATTGTTTCATTTAATTAATTATTTTTTTTTATTTACAGTGGGAAGCCAAGTCTAATCTCAGCTGCCGTATCATGTCCAGGACCAGGTATCATGAAATAAAATTTGAACAGAGAGAATGTTTAAATTTTAAAAGTAGATTAATCACTGGTAGGTCTAACTGCATATGGTTCTAACAGGTGGAGGCTCATGGTAAAGAAAAAAATGTTTGTTGTTGTTGTTGTGTTTGTTTGTCTGTTTTTTAAAATAACGCAAGGTTGCGGTATGTTGCCTAATCTGGTCTGAAACTCCTGGGCTCAAATGATCCTCCCTCCTTGGCATCTCAAAGTGTTGGGATTACAGGTATGAGAGCCACTGCACTCAGCAGAAAAAGCACTTTTAAAAAATGAAAAAAAAATTTTATCTGCATATATAGGAAAATGCAAATTATTTTTCAACCATGCCGCACTTTAAAAAATTATTTTTAAGACTTATTGTTTTTAACACATGTATTTCTTTTTTGAGGGCTGTATGTTAATGTTCTTTCTTGTATATGCCTTTAAAAAGCAAGTTACAGGCTTCTGTAGTTGAAATACAAGAAACTGATTTCTGCACCCACTTGAAGTATTAATCATATTTTTTAAGATACAGATAGAACATATGAAAAAGAAACAACTGGAAAAGAGACTGGACATCAGGAAGCAAAAGTGGTCCATGCGAGATAGAATAAAAATGAAGTGAGCCTCATAACTGCCCCAGCTCACTGCCTTGAGACAGTTTCAGAGCCATTGAACAAGGAGGGTAACCTAAGTGGAATTCAAGAGACTTCCTGAGTTAAGGAGACAGACCTAAGAATCTGGAGAGACAAAGGCAGGTCAAGTTTACAAAAAGAGTACTAAAGAGGAAAGAACTGGACAAAGAGAGAAATTCAGAAATCTCATAGGGCCTCTCTTGAGTATTCAGCAGAATATTGATTAATGCATGTGCTTCAACTATCCAAGCTGAGGGAAGTATTACTGAAAGGATCAGAGAAAAAAAAAAACAAATCCATGGAACAGACGCAAGACTGGGAATAGTGCCTATTCCACTAGCCAAACGGAAAAACAAACAAAACTTCATTCTTCACAGGCTTTGTGTATAGTACTTAGAAAGGTTTGCCTCAGTAGTGGAAAACAATTAGACTAGATTGAGCACTGTCCCAGATTCCAAAAAAATTGTAAAGCAAGTCCCAAAAGGATCAAACTATTTCCAAGTAACCTAATTCCATTCCAGAACAAAACATCCGTGCAAGTGAGCTAGGAAATGGATCTTTCCAAATTGAACCTTGAGATGACTGCAAACTTATAGAGATTCAGTCAAAAGATAGCTTTAAGTCATGTTTGGATTTCTGGCCCACAGAAACTGTGGTATAATAAATGACATTTTAAGTCAAGAAATGTTGGTGTAATATTTAACCCAGAAGGAAACTTCCTTAACCTATTAAAAGGTATCCATGAAAGACCTACAGCAAACATATTTAATGGTGAAAGACAATATTTGTTCCCTAAAGATCAGGAATAGAAAGGATGTCTGCTCTCACTACTTTTGTTCAACTTGTACTGTAAGTTCTGGCCAACAAGCTAGCCAGAAAAGGAAAATAAATAAAAGGCTTCCACATTTTAGGGGAATAATTAAAGCTATCTTTATTCATCAACAACATGATCATGTATGTAGAATATCTGACAAACTGTTAGGACTAGTGAGTGAGATTAGCAAAGTTGCATACCTCAAAATAAATTTATAAAAAATTATTACATTTCTATATTTTGGAAACAAAAAATGAGAAGTTGAAATAAAAATACCATTCACATTAGCATCAAAATATGAAATATTCGGGATAAATATGACAAAAAATTATACACCAAAAAGTACAGCACCGAGGGAGACTGAAGAGAAACTAAATAAATGGAAAGAGACCTACTTTCATGGGTTGGCAGGCTCAATATTGTTAAGTTGCCACTTCTCCTGAAATTGATTTATGTATTCAAAACAATTCCAGCTAAAATTCCAGTTGTCTATTTGAAAAAATTGATATTAATGTGATTCTAAAATTGATTCTAAAATTCTAAAATTGATATTGATGTAGAAATGTAAAGTACCTTAAAAAGAGAAAAAAGTTTTAGAACTTACACTATGTGCTTTCAAGGCTTGTTTATAAAAGTACAGAAATCAAGACAGTGTTGTATTGACATAAATTAATTAAAGAGATGAATAGACTAGAATAGAGGGCCCAGACATATACTCACAAATATATAGACAATTGATTTTCAACAAAGGTATAAAGATAATTCAGTACAAATATTACTGATAATTACCATTTACTAATTTTTTGTTTATTGCCTATCTTCCTTATTTAAATGTAAGCTAATGGAAGGCAAGATCTTGGTCTTATTAACTACCGTGTCCCTGTGTCTATAGTAATGTCTAACACTGAATTCAAATACCACCTTTTGTGGTGAAAAATGCAAATAACTTAGAGCTAGAAGCAGTTCTGGGTTATGCAATATAGTGCAATCTTATTAATCTTATGCACTTTAACTGTAATAAAGAAGTTGTTTAGTGGATGCGTAGATGGATGAATAGATAGGCAGGCAGAAAGAAATGCTGCAATGCATTATTAGAAACTACAGAAACAACATACCTCTGAGAATCTCACTTAAAAAATAAATAAACATGTGACAAGAAATGGCAATAGAAAGAAGAATCTTTCCTCCTCCTCCTCCTCCTCCTCCTTCTTCTTCTTCTCCTTTTTGACATGGGTTCCTGCTCTGTCACTAAGGCTGGAGTGCAGTGGTACATTCATGGTTCACTGTAGCCTCCACCTCCTGAGCTCAAGCGAGCCTCCCACCTCAGCATCCCAAGTAGCTGAGACCACAGGCATGTGCCGCCACACCCAGCTGATTTTTAAATAGTTGTAGAGACAAGGTCTCACAATGTTGCCAAGGCTGGTCTTGAACTCCTAGACTCTAGCAATCCTCCCACCTTGGCCTCCCAAATCACTGAGATTATAGGTGTTAGCTACCACACCTGTCCCAGAACCTCATTTTTTATGATAATTATAATAGCTATTATTTATGGGGTACTAAATGTATGCAGGAGATAATGCTAAATTCTTTATGCACCTTCTCTCATTTACTAATCCTCAGCAAAAATTTACTATGCTGGTTATTAAACTTGTTCCCATTTTACACATGAGGAGACTGATGCACAGAGGTGAAATAAACCTTCACAGTCATGTGCCCCTTAAACTGTAGAGAAAGGACTTGAACTAAGTTTGCCTTACAACAAAGAGTGTAGGACTCTCAAATATTACATACTGCCTCAGAATGACATCTGACAGTCTCCAAGAAATTCATCCCAGGAAACGCTTTGCATTTTCTTACTTGTTAAATGAATGTACTCTGTCTGAAAAAAAAATATTGAAAGTGAGCAAAGTTACTCAGAAAAGTTGCTGAAAACAATAATATCTAGAATGGAGTAATACAATCTGAAAACCAAAAAGTCATTCAAAACAACTTTTCTCGTTCCTCACTTCAGTAATTAAAGAAACCAGATATTTTCATTGAATTTGTTTATCTTTGTCTTCACTTTTTCATCCTTTTCCTCCTGCTGCCACTCCCCTATTTGCTCTTATTCCTCCTTTTCCTTCTTTCCCCTCCTCTTAACTCCCTTTCATTCTTGACTCCTCTAACCATCCTTTTCTGGTTTTGCCTTTTCCAAGACCATACGCATTTCCCTGGTCTTCAATACCAACTCTACCATGAGCAGTCTCCATCTGTTATAGACTAAATATTTGTGTGCCTCCAAAATTCACACGCTGAAGCCCTATCCCCCAGGGTGATGGTATTATGAGATAGTGTCTTTGGGAGATGATTAAGGCAAGAGAGCAGAGCCCTCCTTAATGGAACTGGTGCTTTTGTGAAAGAGGCCATAGAAAACTTGTTTTCTCTTTCTGCCAACTGAGGATGATGAAAAGATGGTGGCCTCTGGACCAGGAAGTGGGCCCACACCAGACACTAAATTTTCTGGCACCTTGATCTTGGATATCTCAGCCTCCAGAACCGTGAGAAATAAATTTCTGTTTTGTTAAACCATCCAGTCATGGTATTTTTGCTAGCAGCCATAACAGCATCTCCTTCATGTTCTCTCCAGTGGTCTACAAAGTCTACCACAATTCCACTGCACCCTCAAATTAGCTAGGCTTATTACCCCCATCACTCTATATTGGGTGCTTTAAAGCCCCAGTCTATATAGGCCTTGTGACTTTCCTCTTGTTTAGGCTATAAAATCCTGAACTAATTATTTACTATGCACCTCCACCAGCTGTCAAACTTAAGTCATATTCATCCAGGAAACCTGCATTGAAGAAATAATTGAAATAATTGCACTGTAAGCCCTATATCAGCTGTTTCTAGAGTGAAGCAGAGCTCCTAAAATCTGCAAAATAGCACATTCGGCTGAAACCTGGATACGTGGGATTTTAGTCCTAGATCTAGTTTTGCGATGGTGACAAGTAACATAACTACTTCCCTCTCAGCTGAGTGTTGGGAATCAAGAGAATGATAAAATCACACATTCTTACCACAGCAGGAATTATTCTCTGCTTTTAAGGTTCTATGTGATTAGATTAGGCTCACCTGGATAATGCAGGATAACTTCTCATTTCATTTAAACACATCTGCAAAGTCTCCTTTGCAATGTAAGGTAGCATATTTACATGTTCCAGGGATTAGAATGTGGCCATATTTGTGGGAACATTATTCCACCACAAGGCTGTTAAAACTAATGTTTGTATTAGGGCAGAAATCTAGTTATTTCTAAGAATCTTCCCAAAATATAAATGCAAATACTGCATGTCTGTTTTATTTTTTTTTTCTGCCTTTGCTGTCTTCAAAAAAGAAACTTAGAACTGTTACTGGTCAAACATTGAAAGCCAACATTGCAGAAAATACTATGGGTGAATGAAGAGAACGAAACAGGAGATTAGAAAAATAAACCGTCATACTGAATGGGCAGAAACTAGAAGCATTCCCTTTGAAAACTGGCACAAGACAGGGAGGCCCTCTCTCACCACTCCTATTCAACATAGTGTTGGAAGTTCTGGCCAGGGCAATCAGGCAGGAGAAAGAAATAAAGGGTATTCAATTAGGAAAAGAGGAAGTCAAATTGTCCCTCTTTGCAGATGACATGATTGTATATTTAGAAAACCCCATCAGATCAGCCCAAAATCTCCTTAAGCTGATAGGCAACTTCAGCAAAGTCTCAGGATACAAAATCAAAGTGCAAAAATCACAAGCATTCTTATACACCAATAACAGAGAAACAGAGAGCCAAATCATGAGTGAACTCCCATTCACAATTGCTTCAAAGAGAATAAAATACCTAGGAATCCAGTTTACAAGGGATGTGAAGGACCTCTTCAAGGAGAACTACAAACCACTGCTCAACGAAATAAAAGAGGACACAGACAAATGGAAGAACATTCCATGCTCATGGATAGGAAGAATCAAGATCGTGAAAATGGCTGTACTGCCCAAGGGGATTTATAGATTCAATGCCATCCCCATCAAGCTACCAATGACTTTCTTCACAGAATTGGAAAAAATGACTTTAAAGTTCATATGGAACCAAAAAAGAGCCCACATTGCCAAGACAATCCTAAGCCAAAAGAACAAAGTTGGAGGCATCATGCTATCTAACATCAAACTATACTACAAGGCTACAGTAACCAAAACAGCATTGTACTGGTACCAAAACGGAGATATAGACCAATGGAACAGAACAGAGCTGTCAGAAATAATACCACACATCTACAACCATCTGATCTTTGACAAACCCGACAAAAACAAGCAATGGGGAAAGGATTCCCTATTTAATAAATGGTGCTGGGAAAACTGGCTAGCCATATGTAGAAAGCTGAAACTGGATCCCTTCCTTAAACCTTATACAAAAATTAATTCAAGATGGATTAAAGACTTAAATGTTAGACCTATAACCATAACAATCTAGAAGAAAACCTAGGCTATACCATTCAGGACATAGGCATGGGCAGGAACTTCATGGCTAAAACACCAAGAGCAATGGCAACAAAAGCCAAAATTAACAAATGGGATCTAATTAAACTAAAAAGCTTCTGCACAGCAAAGGAAACTACCATCAGAGTGAACAGGCAACCTACAGAATGGGAGAACATTTTTGCAATCTACTCATCTGACAAAGGGCTAATAACCAGGATCTCCAAAGAACTCAAACAAATTTACAAGAAAAAAACAACCCCATCAACAAGTGGGCAAAGGATATGAACAGACACTTCTCAAAACAAGACATTTATGCAGCCAACAGACGCATGATAAAATGTTCATCATCACTGGCCATCAGAGAAATGCAAATCAAAACCATAATGAGATACCGTCTCACAACAGTTAGAATGGTGATCATTAAAAAGTGAGGAAACAACAGGTGCTGGAGAGGATGTGGAGAAATAGGAACACTTTTACACTGTTGGTTGGACTGTCAACTAGTTCAACCATTGTGGAAGACAGTGTGGCGATTCCTCAAGGATCTAGAACTAGAAATACCATTTGACCCAGCCATCCCATTACTGGGTATATACCCAAAGGATTATAAATCATGCTGCTATAAAGACACATGCACATGTATGTTTATTGTGGCACTATTCACAATAGCAAAGACTTGGAACCAACCCAAATGTCCATCAATGATAGACTGGATTAAGAAAATGTGGCACATATACACCATGGAATACTATGCAGCCATAAAAAAGGATGCGTTCATGTCCTTTGTAGGGACATGGATGAAGCTGGAAACCATCATTCTCAGCAAACTATCGCAAGAACAGAAAACCAAACACCGCATGTTCTCACTCATAGGTGGGAATTGAACAATGAGAATACTTGGACACAGAAAGGGGAACATCACACACCAGGGCCTGTCATGGAGTGGGGGGAGGAGGGAGGGAAAGCATTAGGAGATATACCTAATGTAAATGACGAGTTAATGGGTGTGCACACCAACATGGCACATGTATACATATGTAACAAACCTGCACATTGTGCACACGTACCCTAGAACTTAAAGCACAATAAAAAATAAAAATAAAAAAAGAAAAAGAAACCATCAATATAAGCATACTATGCATCTTAATTTTTTCTTTGAATAAATACATTTGTATGCTTCAAAAAATTTTTAAAAGGTATGTAATAAAAATATTCCCACATCTTCTCCCCCAATAACACGGCTGTTAGGTTCCTATACATCTTCCCACAGTTCATTCCTGCATGTATAGCAAATATGTATGCATATCCCTATCTTTCACTCTTCACCACCAAGAAAGAAGACAGCATTCTACATGCAACTCTACTCCATATAGTATTAAGTAAAAAATCAATCCCAGGGAACTTTTTATATCAGAACACAGGGTGTTTTTTTCTCCATTCCTCATTGCAAAAACATTCTACTCTATTTAATAGATGTACCATAAATCTCATGGCCATTTGATGTGATTACACACCATTTATAGAATAGTCTCGTCTATACTGATTTGTAATGATTTCCTTTACGTATAATTCCAATATGCATTTAGGCTTATCTATGTCCTATGAACTGTTTATTCATTTCCCATTCCACAAAGTTTTAATTAGTGAGACTTTAAGATATGTTTTAGGCCGGGCGCGGTGGCTCACGTCCGTAATCCCAGCACTTTGGGAGGCCGAGGCGGGCGGATCACAAGGTCAGGAGATAGAGATCATCCCGGCTAACACGGTGAAACCCTGTCTCTACTAAAAAAAAAATTACAAAAAATTAGTCGGGCGTGGCGGCGTGCGCCTGTAGTCCAAGCAACTCGGGAGACTGAGGCAGGAGAATGGCTTGAACCCGGGAGGTGGAGCTTGCAGTGAGCCGAGATCGCGGCACTGCACTCCAGCCTGGGCGACAGAGCGAGACTCCATCTCCAAAAAAAAAAAAAAGATATGTTTTAACGTCTGGTAGCCCTTGACTTTTCTCATTACTTTTCTTTTTCAGCTATTTCTTTTACTTCTTATTTGCTTATCTTTCTTTATAAAGTGTTATGGCAACTTGTCTTCTTTACAAACACCTATTGGCTTTTCTATTTATATCCATAAAATGTATGAATTTACATAGGGAGAACTGATACCTTTATGTTGTCTTCCTATCCAATAATATAGTATAATTTTCTACTTATGTAGTTTCTTTTCCTACTATGTTTCTTAAATGATATACGTGGGCTATTAAAGAAAATAGGCAAAGTGTTATTGAGTACTATTGGGCATTCATAGACAGTGTGGGAGAGGTACTTAAAAGAGCAAACTGCTAGCTGTAAGCATACGGTTAACTATATGCTTAAAACTAACAAGAAAAAAACAAACAAAAAAAAAACCCTTATCCCAGACAGGGACAGTAAACTAGCTGGGAAGGATAGCAGTAAACTAGCTTCGTTCACTGATACAGTGAACCACACACACTTAGACACACACTGAAATATACACTCTCTTACTCTGCCTAGGAGAAGTGACACAAAGGTCCTCTGACCAAGTGCCCCCTTCCTGAGTTTTCCTTAGTACACAAAACAACCTGGGTTTTGTGTACTAAGAGCCTTTTTAAAGTAATAACTCCAAATAAATCCAAATCTTCTGAAACCCCAGGGTATTAAAACCATTGATGAGCCCCCTGAATGAATAATTGTAAACTCACTGGATGCTTGTGCTTAAAGGACCTCTCCCCCTTCTCTCTCTCTCACCTCCCCTCTGTACCAAGCTAGCTCTTGCTCTGCCTTGAGGTATCAGTTTCCCTGAGACTGGTTTAGATGCACCAATGTTTGCTTCCATAATACCCTTAGCTCTGCTACCATCATATTTACTAAACCTTATTGGAAGATTTCAGTGACTTTTGTTTTTTATGTTCTCTTCAGCAACAACCACTGTTCCTTGGGAGATGCTCATTAAAGGAACAGTAAGTGAATCAATGAATAATTCTAGAATAGGAATATTCTCTATATCAAGTTTTGCAAAAGTTAATGTTATTTTCATTTCTCAAAGTTATAAGCCCAAAGAACACAAAAATTCCTATCTCACTGTAATAGAGATAATTGCAAAGAAAGATTGAAAGGTAAACATTTCAATGAATGGTCACAGCCTTGAGTGAACGCCATTTTATTATCTGATTGAAGAATTCGGCACTTGCATACTTTCCTTACCTAAAATTACCCATCACTTAATTATTTACTAAGAAATTAGCATGTTAAGTGATGTAGAATAAAAGAAAGCTAAGGTATATGTTTTGCCTCGAGTGCCCATCCATCTAGTGAGAAAGGTAATGTATGTATTAGCCATACAAAGATAAAAAGCAATACAAAGATAGAATTTAAGTACCAGCTGACTGGGATTGCCAGAAAAGACAATGGTGACGTTAACTGTTGACTGGGGTGGTGAGGGAAAGCCTTCAAAGTAGGAAAATGTTGAGTAGCCTTGTTAGATTAAAGAACAGAAGGCCAGATGAATATGGGAGTTGCCAAGACTGACTGACTTTATTGATCTGGGGACCTGTGTGGAAAAAGTAATAAATCTACATCTCAATTCTACTTTTTATATTTACCAATGAATAAATAGAAATTTAATGCTAGAATAAATAATGCCTCAGATATATCCTACTTCCTGTCCTTAGGAATATCAGAATCGATTTTACACAACCACCTACTGCTTCTAACATTACAAGTGATTGCAAAGTCTTGAAGAACTTAGAGGCCTGCTTGTTCCATATAAATATATGAAATAACTATTTCTTAAGAGATAACCATGTAACTCAAGCAATATTTTTTCTTTACACATATGCACATCACTCTTCACTTGTGTAAGCAAATAAATTATAATCTCGACTATAGTATTGGTTTTCAGCAATTTAATTTTTTCTGAACATAGCTTTTATTCTATTATAATGCTTGAATGACTCACATGCAGTGTTTCCAATCCACTTTTCCTGGCTTGTGAAACTTTTTAACAAAATGTTAGCATTTGCAAGCACCAGATGTTTTGACATAAGGAGAAGCAATATGTAAATTTTAATCCACGCTAGGAACAATAGCCTGCAGGCACCTTTTTCTTATTACGTGAATCATATACTTAACCACAATGTGGTCGAGCCTATCAAAATCATCACTATCTCAAATGTAATACTTTTGTCTTATGGTTGCCAATTAATGAAACTGATACATATTTAAAATGATAGGCATCCATTACTTAACCAATAAGCCTTATTGTATTTTACTACTTCACTACCACATAGCTAGAACTCTGCAGGTGACAGTAATAACTTTTTAGAGGGTTTTAATCTTCCTTTTGATGGTCAATAAAATCAATGCTTGTATTAGATCTTAATGTTTTATAGCTGCAAATATTATTTTACCAAAAATATTAAAACCTATTACAACTTTTTTCATCTTTTCCACCTTTAAACTCAACTCATGGTAAGGGGTATGATGTATGATATGTGTGTGTGTGTGTGTGTGTGTGTGTGTGTGTGTGTTTCTAATAGGAAAGATTTGGAGACAGCTTCAGTATTTGCTACATGTATTTTCCAATAAAGAATAACATATTCTTTTTAGCTTAAGGATTTTTCTAGGGCTAAAAGAATAACAAAGAAGAACATATTCTTATATGCAGTCTTTTCTAATATTGAAGAGTTATAAAACGTTTTAAATAAGCTCCCACATGGACACGTATATGTATGCCCAAACACACCACAGATGTACATACACATACAATAAACAATCAAGTATCAAAACCATTCAGTCATCCAAATTTTCAGCCTATATACTGTTTAAGAAGTCATCCTGACTTATTTTTACCTGTATTAGATTATTCTTTCCATACAAAGATTATTATAATGATCAGTATTTTGGGCATTGATAATACTTTAAGAAAAATATTCATATGATATCACTTTTTTAAAAAAAGCAAAGAACCTATATTTGAACATAGAATACCACCCTTTATGGTTAACTCTGAGCAGTCCTGTTTTAGTATTTTAAAATAAAGTATGGAGGGAAAAATTTCATAAACATGGTATTAAATATTAGAAAGTCTTAACACAACTGAAATCCTTATTAATTTCATTATCAAAGGATAGGTCTAGTCAATACCAATTAGCAGCTTTAAGATGATTTACATATTAAAATACAGTATTCTATTTATCCTAGATTGTCTGGGGACCATCTAGTATATTAAAAGGTTTTGCAGAGTTTCTTAGTGATTTCACTGCTACCATTATGCCTATTAGCAATTTAGCAACATTCTGATAAATATTTTCCATAAATCAAAGCCATAACAGCATGGTGAAGCAGATGGCAGGAGACCATATTAAAGAATGTAACAATTATTTTCATTAATAGGGAAATATTGAATCATCATTTTCAGCATGGACTATGTAGTGAGTAGTTGTCAGCTGTGATGTCTGGTGACTGTTTTAAATATCCTTTCAAATGATTAACCCACATTCTCTGTTTTCCAGTGCAGTCTATATACAAAGGCAGAACAAAAACTGTAAAACATTTCATAATTATAGTCTTTCATTTAATATATGCAAAGAAAATATTGGTACATTTTAAGGTATTTTTACAAAGATTTTTGTATGTATTAAAGTACACCAAAGTTCTCCATTTTCTTAGAAAATAAGACACATTACTTTGTTATTAAAAATGAAAAATAGCAATAATTACAAATTCTACAGTCTTATTAACAATGTTTTCTTGATCTAACCAATGTCAGATTAAAATTATAGGAATGTTACTTCAGCTATTTGTATATGTAAAACACTATTAAAGTCAAAGATTTTTAACTACATAATAATTATTAAGATTAAATAGCTGAATTAATTTTAGCCTTGTATGCCATAAGCAACTGCTATGCTGTTAGATAAGATTCTTGAATTTCGTTTGCTTTTAAAATTCAGTATCATATTTAAAGAACAATATGTAACTTCTTGATTATATATAATTCTTTCAGCAAAATCAGTCTCTTCTTTTATTTGTATATTTTGTCTGCTACATAAACTACCAGCTTTAGCACAAGAACAAAATTTATATTCTATGGAAAAAATACAGTGACAATATAGAATTTTTGCAATAAAACAGTAGTGCAGGGATAAAAGAGGTAGTATTACAAACACAAAAGTCTTTACTGTTATTCTTTATGCCTGTTGGATAATGTAAGAAAAAGACATTTTACAGAGAATTTCATCAGTAGAAAACACAATAGAAGTCATCTGATTATGCAGAAATACACATAAAAATCCCTTTACAAGCAGATAAAAAGTTCCCTTTTATGTATAAAGCAGTAGACAATAGTACTTCATCATTAAGTTGGTTGAATCCTGGGAGATATATTTTTTAATCAAAATAGCTGTTTTCGGATAATCTCCTATACATTCAAATCTCTATGGACCTCAGAGGGAAAATGTAGCACTGAAAATTTTAAGAAAAGCTATTTTTTCTGCTTTTGGATTGTTTCCTTGTTTTCAAATTAAAATTCATACAAACAATAAAACATTGGAACATCAATGCACAATGATTACAGGAGGCTCATGTAACATAGGAGATCAGTAACACTCGAAATGTATTTTGTATTTATTAGGTAAATGTAATGAAATCTCTGTATATATGTATACTAAGTCAAACTGACATACTTATCAACATATAGGGCACTGGAGGGATAAATGATGTAATTCCATGTAGCACATAGAGACTATGCCATTATCAATACTGAAACAAAATTCAATCCTTCGGGTGTCTTTAAGAAACCCAGATGGTTGATCTTGCGCTGATAACACAGTGAAATAATTAATTGATTCCAGTTTTATTCCACATCTTACACATCAGACGGTCAGTAAATACCTAAAGTGTTTGAATAGGGTCAAAGACATTGTAAAAAAATTTGGAACACTTAGTTATGCCATTTATTTATTTGAACGTTTAAATTCCACAATATCCAAACAGGAAAAAAGTGTTTCCATGATGCCTTGAAGTATAAGAAAATTCCTATATGACTCAGTTTTTCAAAATAAAATAAAAATATATTCCTTTTAAAGTTGTGAAATCTAATTCCCCTCATGACATTATGGTAAATGAGCACACCAAATCAAGACATTCTTTGTATCTGTTTTTTTAAGTAAGAGCTATTAAATATTTGATTTACAGTCATGTAGGTGGGAAAAAAATGAGTTGAAAAAGGAAGAGGAAGGCTATTTCTCAATGTCCCCAGCTCATCTGGCTATTTATTATTTAGGGCTTTTTTAAAAACCTATATAAAGAAAGCCATGGTCACTGATATGCCTATAAACTGAGAAAATACCATCTGTACATATATTCTCCATTTGATATAGGAAAAATTCAAGAAGAAAAGGCACTAAAGAAAAAAATTGTAAAGAGCTGTATCTACTCACAGGAGGTCATCATTATTTTAAGACAATTGGAAGTTGGAAAGGGCTGTTTAATGTGAATCCAAGAAAAAGCAGCCAATATTTAATAATATAAAAAATGATTGGATGGGATATTTTGTTGAAAAAAGAATGAAAAACAATAAAATTATTGTATCTTACTTTAAAGGAAGTTTTATTATAATTGTAATTATGAATTAAATCTTTAAATGAAAAGGGATAATTGTATATTAATTGAATGAATAAATCAATAATTATGCATTAATAGTCCCATTACAGTTGATGCTTTTTGTGACAGCATTGTTTGATAAACATATGCCTCTTTTACTATTATGAAAAATCTCATTTCTGCAAGAAATATTCTAGAGAGTCAAATTTTTCTAGAAGTCTATCTTGTTTCTTAGATACTCAAATAATTTGCTTTTAAATTCACACTATTTTTGTTTGGAAATTTATTTGCATCATTTCAAAATGTTATGGTCAGATGTTTATAACACTCAGTAATTATAGTGAAACTGACCCATATATAATAAATAGAAGGCATAGTTTGCTGAGTGGGGAGGACATGTTTGATAAACGACTACTTCATAAATGAACAACTTTTTTAGTGAATAATCTAAAGTTTGGTACACTATTACTTTCCTATGCAACCTCATCATTATTAGGATTGGGATAATTATATTTAGATAAGTAAGGGTCCCCCCATTGTTATACATGACATTAACCGCACACCTAAGAGACCTGATTCAGGAATTTTTCACTTGGGATCCAAGAAAACATTCAGGAGATCCCTAAGATCTCTGAATGCATGTGAATTATTGTCCATATAAACAGTTCTATACTTTTCTAGGGAGAGGGTCTATAACTCACTAGATTCTCAAGGTATCTGCCTTAAAAAGTTAAGAACTACCATCTAATTAATTTTTAATGTATTTCAGTTGACCGGGACACAGCATAACTCTTTACTCTCTTTAAAAATTCATTACCCTTTTTACAGTTCCCTGACATCTCATAATCTGAATGTAGCAGCAAATAGCAGTTCCCTCTCCAGATCTCTTGTGTCCAGGCTCTATCATCCTGTGCCAAGTCCTTATCTCAGCCAAGATTGTGAAGGATAGATTTCAAGGCCCAGTAGTTGTACCTTAACAGAACAGAAAATAATGACTGAGTAATGACATCATCAGTGCAAGTCTACTCAAAATATGAAGAAATGAGAAGAGCAGATAAAATGAGAACTGAAGCCAGTCTCTATCTAATAAAGTGGTGTGTTTTCTATGAACTCCAAAATATATTCCTTATCTATAATTTTTAACATTTAATCAAATTATCAACTCAGATAATGAAGTGGAATTTTGTTATAAAATTAAAAGTATGTAATATCGTCTTGAAAATTATTGAGAAGATGTATCTAATAGCTGTTTCACATGGCATATTTCAGATGAATTTATCTATCAGGCTTTAATGACTGTACCCAGAAGTTAGTAATTATTTTTCCATGTCAAACAATAAAATTATTTTAATTCTCCAAATTCTGAGCAAATGATACAAGCTAAGCCTGAGATAATTATTATACCATAATGATTTACTATTTTTCTACTTTTATCAGCATTAGGGTCTCACATTTCATAGTGACATATTTTCCATGTGAGAAGCAACTAAAAGATCCTTTCAAAATTTATCCCAAAGCTTAATATTCATGAAAGATTACATCTCACTCATTAGTAATATATATTTTAGTTTTTAGCATCCTCCCTGCTACTAAAAAGATTTGTTTCTATTATATTAATACTATATTATTTCACCATAGTTTTCTAAGGGCCTTCACAACCTGTTGTCAGTCTTATGCTTCAGAACTCCCCAACAGACATCTTCTAGGGCATCCAGATCTTTCTAATTAAAGTCCTATAAAGATACTTCCCCTATTATTCTCACTTTTATCATTTGGTTGGTATTATTCCTTTATATGCCCTCACTTTCACTCAATTAATGCCTTTCAAAGAGAAGTCAAATTCTGCTGTTCCCATAAAGTTTGTCAGTCATTTTCATTTTCTCTGACCTTCTGTATTTACAGTTTATGCTTAGATTTTTTATTCTATATGTCTTCTATCTTTTGTTTTTGTTTTTCATGCATTCTCATTAACTACCTTAGGAGTAAGACCATATCTTTTTCAACTCTTCTACATTTTCTCAGGACTCACTGCAGTTCTGAGTATGCCTCCATGAATACTCATTGATCGGATGATCACTCTTGGAGGTCCAGCACAGAGCAACGTGCTTGGTAACTTAATTTCCTAACCTAAAACAAGCGCAAGAGATAAAAATCTAAATGAAGCATCATAGTTATAAGTGCTTATAATAAATGCTAACAGTGCAACCAAAGATCATAGGACACTCTAAGTGTTTATAGAAATAGAACCTTACGTTCCTCTCAGAACTGAAAATAATAAGAAATAGTTTGTTGTAATAATTATTTTGTCAATTGGCAATTCAATTTTCAATATTTTATCCATTTGGAGAAAAACCAAATCAACAACTAATTGATTTCTGTCCAATACTGATGAAAAGTTTTAAGTACCTGAAAACTGTCCTTGCAGGGGGACATTTTATATTTTATTTACTAAAATTGATGATCTGACATCTCTTCTTCATAAGAAAAGAGAATTTGGAATGTGATTCTGATGCAGTCAGAAGCATGAAGAAAACAAAAGAACATATACTACCTGAATGATGTGCATATGTGTATGTGTATGTTTGTGTGAAGGGATACAATTCTGGTCCATATTCCTGAGGAAAATATTCAATATGTTCCTTTTCCTGAACAGAGACTGGAGATATAAATATGCATGGATGCTTTTAGAATTAGTGTAATTGAACCAACTACAATAAAATGAGGATCTAATTTTAGTAACCAATGTTTTTATAAGTTATCCATATTTTATTGTGGAAAATTCTCACATTTATTGTAGATTTGCCTTTCAACCACAAGTGACAGATAATCTATTATACATTTATTTATCCTATAAAGTTTGAACTTTAGACATGTCTACTAGACAATGGAGAAAGGCAATGACCACCTGATATGTTGATCTTGATTCCGGAAGACTGATGTGAAAGTTGAAGAGAAGATGGAAATGAGTAACTAAGAGACTGTTTGTATATTTCAGTCGTTTAACACTTTGCAGTCATTAGTTCCAGTAGTACACCACCAAGTTGCTGCTTTTAAAACATCAATAAAGAGCTATTTCTTATGCTGTACCTCTTTTCAGGAAAACAGAATTTAAGTGGATTTGGACTCCGTAGTCAAAGAAGAAAACACCTTTTTTTCGCCCTCAATAATTCATTAACACTATGATTTTTCTTCCTGCGAATTCTTCTGTTGCTTCTATCAGTTTTTCATGAACAACACATTCCTTTAAGAAAAAAAATAAGCCAAAGCAACATATGAAACACAGAGCATAATTGCATAGCACCAGCATAGAATTGCTTTCCAGTTGATGAATTGGGTCTGTTTATTTCTTATAATTCATCACCATCATCTGAGCTAAAGCTACTTCTCCTACTGCTTTCTTTGGAAACTGCAGGGGAAGTGGCAGATAGCAGAGGATCTGTTCCAAATGGAGAGATTGTGTCATCCAATAGCATGCCATCCAATCTTTGTTCCTCTTTCAATGCAGCACTAAATGATAAATCTGTGAAGTATGACAAAGGATCAGAAAAGGCTATAGCTTGATCACAGAGCTCAGGGCTTGGCCCCTGAGACACAGTCAGTTGTTGGCAATAGTCTACTGAATTCTGCTCAGGATGGCTCTGCTGTTTGGTGACATGAGCACCTAAATCAACCGTGCCAAGTGAAGCCAGGGTTGGCAGACCATGAGTACGAGCCTGAATTTCTAGTTCCTGTAATTTCAAACGAAAATCATTAAATAATGTCTTTGAAATTGGATTTAACACTAGAGAATAAGCCAGACATAGAATCAAAATATTAACAAGCATTTAAAATGAAGAGTAATACAATACAAATTATGAATAATCTTTGCAAATAATGAAATTGATACATTTCTGATGCATGAAAAATAACTCTGAGAAAATTACTCAGACTTTTTTTTAAGTTTGGTCTCATTGTTCTACAAAGGTTATGACTGATGATGGTTCCATAGTGGCTCAGACTACAATATAGCCATTTGGAGATAGCAGAAAGTCATCTATTTATTCTTCCTGATTAATTTCTCACTGTAAATGCAGGACCTTTTCATGGAAACAGTAAATGTTTTACCTGGTGCTAAGCATACTCACATTTTTAAAAAATCTTGAGAGTTATAAAAGCCCATATTTTGATATTTTGGATTATATGAACAGATGAGAAGTGACTTAATATACACTGTCACAACATGCCTTGAGGCAATGAAATCCATAGCAATGTTGGAAAGAAATGAAAGAAGGAGGGGAGAATTTAATGTCCAATATAATGTAGAGAAACAAATGTTTTACTTAGTATTATTATTTGATTAGGATAATAATGTGTGCATTTATGAAATGAGTTATATTTTATGCATTTTGTAATTTGTTGTCATTATATATGTGTATATATATATACATGCACACATACACACATATATACACATATATGTGTATATACATATATACATATATACATATTCAGCCATCTTGATCCTGGATTTCTAGTCAAATCCTAATTGAAACAACCCAATTCACGAACTTCTAAAAAGCAGTAAAATTATCCTTCAAAAGGAAAAATAATTGTTAATAAGAGAAAAAATAAATGAGACCAATGAAGAAAACTGATGACAGCTGAGTCATGTGTAAGCTATGTGACTCATGGCTACATTCTTATAAAAACCTGAATCCGAAGTAGAAGTCGCCTGTTAGCCTGCTCTAATTTCTTCTGTCTGTGTTCCAATTCTCGGGCTCTCTGTTGTTCTTTTTGTAGCCACTTGATGTACTCCACTGATGCTTTTAGAATGGTTCCTTTGTTCCAGCGCATATCACTGTAGAATGGAGAGATAACCTTTTCACAATTGTGCATGTCAGCAGAATTCATAAGAACTTACAAAATCTTTTACATTAATATGAAATAATGATTTACATGACTATTATTCACTCTTAGATATTATTGCTTCTGAATAGAAATTTTAATAGAATAGTTAAGAAGCCCTTATATAGTAAAATTAATCCCAGAATGAAAATAAGTGTCAAAAGAAAGTAATAAAGTGACTTTTTGTGGGAGAGCTAAATGCAATATCATGATTCTACCATTACAGTTTTTATATTTTTAGTGAAAATTGCTTTTATTATTAACTCCAAGATTAAAATCTATGTGCAGTATTTCTGCATTAATGAACTAGGAAATGTACATTACTGAGGACTTAAGCCTAAATTTTTTAAGATCATTTCAAATGTAGCAATCTTTTAACCTATTTTCTAATAAGGTTGCTTTTATGTTTCTAAGAAAAAATTAAAGTCCCTCCTGAATGGTGATCCTGAGCAATTGTGAAACAAATCAGACTCTGGCAACATCACTTTATGTAATAGAGCAAACTTTCTAAAACCATTCAGTCATTTTTTTTCTATACAAACATCATCAAAACTTTTTAAAAGCTTGATGTGAATAGCTATTTTTAAATACATTTAAGATAAGTAAATATAATTAAACATTACTGGATAACTTTTTAGGCTATAGCATAGAAGAAATCATTTCATTAAAACTTACTTTTAAGACAGGAGAAATTAAAGATATGAAATTGTGGAAGAGGCTACTGATTTTGATATCTGAAAATATACATTAATGAATGTAATACTGCATGAGAACTAATAATATGTTTGGAGAATGAGTCCAAAGTAATTGCTAAATGTTAATCAGAGTTGTTGGAAAACCTGGATACATTTTGAATTTAGAGTCACGAGATGTTTTTAATATAGCATAAAGTACACAGGTAGGGAAATATAACATTTTTCTACATATATTTTTGGTGATGTGACAATGCCATTAGCAGTAAAATATTAAAAGAAGAGACATTTTTCTACCAGCAGGTGAAAGTGCTTACTGGAGCCTGGATAAGAGCTCTGTTCTACTGCAATGCACCAAAACATTGTCAATGGACATCGCAAGTTTGAAAATGCTTTGTCATTTCTTTAAGGCTATAATGGCTGTTGGTCTCATTCCACTCACAGGGGGTGAGGGGAATGAGTGGGATGGTGGTGGTGGGAAGGGTGGGGAGAGACAGTCTATCTTTGGTGCTAAACCAAGTATCTGTAACTGAAACATGTAATGGACTCTAAACTAAAATTTAAGTAGTAGCAAAAGCCTTATGGACCCTTATTTTGTGTCATTTTTTCTCATGGAAAGAAAAGCTTGAGGACAGAGAAACAGATTTAAAAAAAAAGATAACCCTAGCCATATTTGAAGTTTAAAGTACTATTAGTTCAAAAACAAACCTTCAAAATGGTAGTAGAGAACACACAATGAGCCTCCCTTCAATTTGTACCTGATGTCACTTACAATAATTTTTTTAAGTTCCTCTATTTTAAAGAAATTTTAATGTACTAGATTCTTTCCTATTTATTTTTTATATTTACTAAAGAGACTTTTGCCTCTCTCCCAAAACAATTTCAACAAAGTAGGCATTACAAATATTATATAGGGTGGTACCATATAAACACAGACACACCAATAAAGGCATGGCTAAAGAATGAATGTTGATAGTTGATGCTGGCCCTTCATTTTCTGCACAACAATTTTTTAAGATCTTAAAATGTTGGTGGATTAAAAGCCTGAATGCATTTACAGTCAGAGCAGATAATACAAATGTATAAATTGGAGTAAGGAGTGCTGCCAGGCAAAACTATGGAAAATGTACAATCTGTTGTTATCTTAGGGGTGTACATCCACTTAAAAGCATTAAAAAATAATTTTAAAAAAAGATTTTAAAAAGAAAGAAAATAATACTATGACAGGTCTGAATTTTTTTTTTTTTTTTTTTTTTTTTTTGCTTCAACATTTTGTGACTCCTGACTTAGAAAGTTTTGTCAGGTCTCGTATTCTACACCAACTATCATTCTTACACAAAAGCAGGAGGAATTTGGTTGTAGAGGAGAGTAAAGATTAAGTAAAAAAACTTCAAACTATTTAGAAAACTTTTTACAGTGCAAAAACAAGAGTAATAGAGTAATTAAAGATCTAATAATACTTTTAACTTTCTACTCATGTAATTTTTGTAAACATGGCTCACAAAAACACATATGGACAAAAGTGTTTCCAAGAAAGCTAAAGAGGACAACTACTACATGTTGTAGAAGCTCTTCACTCTTTCTCTTTGATTGTTATTTTTGTTTGGGTTTTGTTTTGTTAACACCGGTCAAGAGATTGTCATTGCCTGGTCATGTTTTTTTCATGTAATTTTCTCAACCTGTACGTCTCAATTACAGCTGTTCTCTATATTACTTTTCCTTCTGACCTCACCATTTTGACCTGCAAAGAAATAGAACTTTCTGAATATTTTGATACATAGAAATAAAAACTTCATAGAATTCAAAGTGTCTTCAGGTATTAGCTTTTATTTCCTAAGCCAACTCCAAAATATATTCCAATCATGAGCTGGAAAGGTACTCAAAGGCCAACCATGCCACAATTGCTGCTATATGCCCAAGAGTATATGGTGTTTAGGAGATAAGCCCCAGGTTTCCTCTCTCAATTCAGTACTCTTTCTGCCAACCTGTGGCTTTCCCACCTTTCAAATGCATCTGTCATAAGAAATACGCTTTATATAGTGACTTGGCACACTCTTAGTAAATAAAACTGCAACAAAGATTTCACAGGGCTTTCCTATTCTCTTTACATGTAATACTCTCATATTTTCAATGCTATTCTTCCTTTTTTGTTTAAAATGCTGCATTTGTCTCATTTGAGTGATTCCATGACTCGTTAATAGATATGGCACATAATTTAAAATATCTCATACTAGATAATTGTATAGTCTGATATACTTTTTATTTTTTAAAAACTGTTCTTAGTCATTTTAATGGTTGTAGTCACCTGTTCAACAAGTTATTCAAAAATTTGCTAAACTCAAACTAAAATCTTGTATGGTCTTTTTTTTTTTTCAGATCCACTGTTTGTTAATTTCCTCATTGTCATAACATAATAATGTCATTTCTTCTTTTATTTTCTCACCCTCAAAGTAAATTTGCCTCCTCTATGCTACCCTTCCCTTTTTCCAGCATTCTTGTTTCCTGTGACTTTTAGATTATCCCTAATAACATTTGAAAATTTGACAAATGGATCCAGAATAATTTTGTCACGTAGATGGGTACTCCTTAGTCCATGGAGCCAGACCATGGTTCTCAGGTAGAGTCATTTTAAGAGGATACACTCTGGATTCAATCATGGGACCCTCATTGCTAAACCCTAAAGAGGGACACTGGAGTAACAGGTGAGGCCACAGCAAGCCAAGGAATAAAATGTATTTAAACAGAATTAGTACTGAGATTTTTGGAATGTCACACATTTCAGTGAAGTGTCTTCTCTACCTGTGATATACGGAAAAATCCACGTATAGACATATTCAACATCTAATTAATGTGTTTTCCATTAGACCCCAAATAAATGTTATTTGCCTACATACAACACAATAGAAATAAAACAAATAATAACCCTCCTTTCTGAGATTCATAAGGAAGAGAAAAACAATGCTTGCAATGCAGTTTTCCCAATTCTGGTCTATCATAAATTGAATTTTCATATTCTAGACCAAGGGTAGACAAACTACGGCCCATAGCTTATTTTTGTCAATAAATTTCACTGGATGAGGTCAAGCTCATTCATTCCATGTTGTCTGTGTCTGCTTTCATGCTACAATGCCAGAGTTAAATAATTGTGACAAAGACTTTTGTATGGCCTGCAAAGCTTGAAATATTTACTATCTGGCCCTATACAAAAAGTACTTACCATTCTATGTTCTAGAAAATGAATTAGAACTAGAAAGGAGTCTTTAGATAAAGTTTTTATTAAAATTTGGAGTAATAATCTCTCATAAAACTTTATAACTTGCAAACTATTCCCATACACCTTATTTGATTTTATTTTTATAAAAACACAGGCATATAGGGAAGACAAGTGTTTTCTTTAGCTAACAGAGTCACATGTTTAGAGACTTTAAAAGATTTGAAGAGTTTGGAGTAGAGTCTAAATTAGGCCTGAGCTCTTCAGACCCTAAATGTCTTCACAATCTAGTATGTACATAAGGACAAATATTGCATTCCCTTTTCTAACAAATTGTTGAATTGTCCAAATAAATGAGCAAATTCGGATTTAGAGAAAAAGTGCTTTAAAATCTCAGAAACATAACGTGTGTGTGTGTGTGTGTGTGTGTGTGTGTGTGTGTGTGTGTAGGGTCTTATTCTACCACCCAGGCTGGAATGCAGTGGTGCGATCATGGCTCACTTAAGCCTTGAAATCCTGGGTTCAAGTGATCCTTGTGTCTCAGCCTCCTGAGTAGCTTGGAGTACAGGTGCATGCTACCATATCAAGCTTGCTCTTTCCTTCTTTCTTTCTTTCTTTTTTCTTTCTTTCTTTCTCTCTCTCTCTCTTTATTTTCTTTTTCTTTCTTTCCTTCCTTCCTTCTTTTCTTTTCTTTTTTCTTTTCTCTTCTTTTCTTTTCTTTTCCTTTCTTTTTTTTAGAGGTCGGATCACACCCAGGTTGATCTTGAACTCCCGGCCTCAAACAATCTTCCTGTTTGGTCCTCCCAAAGTACTGGGATTACAGGCATGAGACAATGTGCCTGGCCCACAAGTATCACTTTATCAAACATGATCATTTCCGGATAATGAATAATATCCAGTATTTGGAGAAAAAAGTTCTCAGTTTTTTTTTAAATTTATTATTATTATACTTTAAGTTTTAGGGTACATGTGCCAATGTGCAGGTTAGTTACATATGTATACATGTGCCATGCTGGTGCGCTGCACCCACTAACTCGTCATCTAGCATTAGGTATATCTCCCAATGCTATCCCTCCCCCCTCCCCCCACCCCACAACAGTCCCCAGAGTGTGATGTTCCCCTTCCTGTGTCCATGTGCTCCCATTGTTCAATTCCCACCTATGAGTGAGAATAGGTGGTGTCTGATTTTTTGTTCTTGTGATAGTTTACTGAGAATGATGATTTCCAATTTCATCCATGTCCTACAAAGGATGTGAACTCATCATTTTTTATGGCTGCATAGTATTCCATGGTGGATATGTGCCACATTTTCTTAATCCAGTCTATCATTGCTGGACATTTGGGTTGGTTCCAAGTCTTTGCTATTGTGAATAATGCTGCAATAAACATACGTGTGCATGTGTCTTTATAGCAGCATGATTTATAGTCCTTTGGGTATATACCCAGTAATGGGATGGCTGGGTCAAATGGTATTTCTAGTTCTAGATCCCTAAGGAATCGCCACACTGACTTCCACAATGGCTGAACTAGTTTACAGTCCCACCAACAGGGTAAAAGTGTTCCTATTTCTCCACATCCTCTCCAGCACCTGTTGTTTCCTGACTTTTTAATGATTGCCATTCTAACTGGTGTGAGATGGTATCTCATTGTGGTTTTGATTTGCATTTCTCTGATGGCCAGTGATGGTGAGCATTTTTTCATGTGTTTTTTGGCTGCATAAATGTCTTCTTTTGAGAAGTGTCTGTTCATGTCGTTCACCCACTTTTTGATGGGGTTGTTTGTTTTTTCTTGTAAATTTGTTTAAGTTCATTGTAGATTCTGGATATTAGCCCTTTGTCAGAAGAGATAACTAAAATCAGAGCAGAACTGAAGGAAATAGAGACACAAAAAACCCTTCAAAAAATTAGTGAATCCAGGAGCTGGTTTTTTGAAAGGATCAACAAAATTGATAGACCGCTAGCAAGACTAATAAAGAAAAAAAGAGAGAAGAATCAAATAGATGCAATAAGAAATGATAAAGGGGATAACACCACTGATCCCACAGAAATACAAACTACCATCAGAGAATATTACCAACACCTCTACTCAAATAAACTAGAAAATCTAGAAGAAATGGATAAATTCCTCGACATATACACTCTCCCAAGACTAAACCAGGAAGAAGTTGAATCTCTGAATAGACCAATAACAGGAGCTGAAATTGTGGCAATAATCAATAGCTTACCAACCAAAAAGAGTCCAGGACCAGATGGATTCACAGCCGAATTCTACCAGAGGTACAAGGAGGAACTGGTACCATTCCTTCTGAAACTATTCCAATCAATAGAAAAAGAGGGAATCCTCCCTAACTCATTTTATGAGGCCAGCATCATCCTGATACCAAAGCCGGGCAGAGACACAACAAAAAAAGAGAATTTTAGACCAATACACTTGATGAACATTGATGCAAAAATCCTCAATAAAATACTGGCAAACTGAATCCAGCAGCACATCAAAAAGCGTATCCACCATGATCAAGTGGGCTTCATCCCTGGGATGCAAGTCTGGTTCAATATATGCAAATCAATAAATGTAATCTGGCATATAAACTGAACCAAAGACAAAAACCACATGATTATCTCAAAAGATGCAGAAAAGGCCTTTGACAAAATTCAACAACCCTTCATGCTAAAAACTCTCAATAAATTAGGTATTGATGGGACGTATCTCAAAATAATAAGAGCTATCTATGACAAACCCACAGCCAATATCATACTGAATGGGCAAAAACTGGAAGCATTCCCTTTGAAAACTGGCACAAGACAGGGATGCCCTCTCTCACCACTCCTATTCAACATAGTGTTGGAAGTTCTGGCCAGGGCAATTAGGCAGGAGAAGGAAATAAAGGGTATTCAATTAGGAAAAGAGGAAGTCAAATTGTCCCTGTTTGCAGATGACATGATTGTATATGTAGAAAACCCCATTGTCTCAGCCCAAAATCTCCTTAAGCTGATAAGCAACTTCAGCAAAGTCTCAGGATACAAAATCAATGTACAAAAATCACAAGCATTCTTATACACAAATAACAGACAAACGGAGAGCCAAATCATGAGTGAACTCCCATTCATAATTGCTTCAAAGAGAATAAAATACCTAGGAATCCAACTTAAAAGGGATGTGAAGGACCTCTTCAAGGAGAACTACAAACAACTGCTCAAGGAAATAAAAGAGCATACAAAGAAATGGAAGAACATTCCATGCTCATGGGTAGGAAGAATCAATATCGTGAAAATGGCCATACTGCCCAAGGTAATTTACAGATTCAATGCCATCCCCATCAAGCTACCAATGACTTTCTTCACAGAATTGGAAAAAACTACTTTAAAGTTCATATGGAACCAAAAAAGAGCCTACATCGCCAAGTCAATCCTAAGCCAAAAGAACAAAGCTGGAGGCATCACACTACCTTACTTCAAACTATACTACAAGGCTACAGTAACCAAAACAGCATGGTACTAGTACCAAAACAGAGATATAGATCAATGGAACAGAACAGAGCCCTCAGAAATAATACCGCATATATAAAACTATCTGATCTTTGACAAACCTGAGAAAAACAAGCAATGGGGAAAGGATTCCCTATTTAATAAATGGTGCTGGGAAAACTGGCTAGCCATATGGAGAAAGCTGAAACTGGATCCCTTCCTTACACCTTATACAAAAATCAATTCAAGATGGATTAAAGACTTAAACGTTAGACCTAAAACCATAAAAACCCTAGAAGAAAACCTAGGCATTACCATTCAGGACCTAGGCATGGGCAAGGACTTCATGTCTAAAACACCAAAAGCAATGGCAACCAAAACCAAAATTGACAAATGGGATCTAATTAAACTAAAGAGCTTCTGCACAGCAAAGGAAACTACCATCAGAATGAACAGGCAACCTACAAAATGGGAGAAAATTTTCGCAACCTACTCAAAAGTTCTCAGTTTTAATGAAATATTTTCAAATCATTATTAATGCTACAGATTCCATGTTTTCACTTTTTTTTTTTTTTGAGATGGAGTCTTGCTCTGTTGCCCAGGCTGGAGTGCAGTGGCATGATCTTAGCTCAACACAACCTCTGCCCCCTAGGTTCAAGCAATTCTCCCACCTCAGCCTCCTGAGTAGCTGGGATTACAGGCATGCACCACCACACCTGGCTAACTTTTGTATTTTTAATAGAGACAGAGTTTCACCATGTTGGCCAGGATGGTCTTAAACTCCTGACCTCAAGTGATCTGCCTGCCTTGGCCTCCCAAAGTGCTGGGATTACAGGCGTTCACATTTTTAAAGAAACATTCAACATTTTAAGTTAACACTTTATTTCTCAATATTTACAAGAGTAAGTAATTTGTTTGATGGACATTTTGTGCATACAGCACAAAGCCTGGTCAGCATCAATCAATATGCTTTTATGATTCCATTTGTTACTTGTGTGTCTCCAAAATTCGGGGACCTTGGAAAATCTAACAATTCTATTTTCACTTGCACACAAATTTTAAATTGGAAGAATTGTTATACTCATAAAAATTGAATATACCAGTCAGCATCATAAGTAGTATTTGACATTATCACTAAATTTGACAATATTGTCACCATACAGAAAGACTCACTATGAACTGAGGAAAAATAACTTATTTACTTCTTATAGCTCAAGAGGACAACTCTTAGTAACAGCCCTGATGCTCAATAACAATCAGACTGGAATAGACATTTTAAAATGAGCCCAGCAATAGCCTTATTTTTGCTATAAGCTGCTTAGTTTCCTAGTCATTGGTTCTCTCCTCCCTTCTTCCCTCCCATTCATTTTGGGGGTCTTTAAATTATAACATTATTATAGAAATGATTGTTGAACTCACGGATCATTAGACTTTGGAATAAGAGTGCCAAGCTCCTTGATTCGGTAATTAATATTATACCTTCTTCTTCTTTCAACTATTAAAGAAGAAATATTATTGATTATTCTCATTAATGCACAGTTCACTTTTGGTCAGCTGTAAACATTTTTAACAATCTTTTAAAAACAATGGGAAAAAAACTTTCCATTTAGTCAAAAGATAATACTTCTCAAGAATAAAATAAAAATTCTCATTCTAAAAGTAAAGGTTTCAATATTAGAATTATAAATCTATGATTTACACTGTTTTAAAAACATTTTGTCACAAAACATTTTTAAAAATTCCTTAAAATACTATAATACTCATAATGAAATGTGTATAAGTATATATTAACATGTATAACTCTTTGATTATTTCACACATTGGCAATTTGTCAGTCCATCAGGATTGTAATCATTCGAGGTCGTGCAACACTCTTTACTCTTCTCATATACTGTCCTCAAAGCCTAACGCAATGTTTAGCACATAGTAGGTCTGTGTATCCAATTAGACTCTATGACCTCCTTGAGGGCAGGGACCTAACTTACTTATTTTTGTATCACCAGAGAGCTTGACATATAGGAGGTGGTAAATAAATGTATATTGATTAGGCTGTAAATTTATTTTTCTATTTTAGTTTCCAATAATATATAAATAAGTGGTTTTTATACTTTGGCACTCTTTAGACACACCTGGAAGGATTGTTAAAATAGATTTGCACCACACACTTAAAGATTCTAATTTTAGTGTGTCCTGGAAGTAGGGGGACAAGAGTGGGCAAGAATTTCCATTTCTAACAAGTTTCATGGTGATGCTGATACTGTTTTTGTGGGGCCAATGCTTTGAAAACTGCTGATATAAGCTCTTATTCAGAGACTGTTTTCTCTTTTTGCATTTCCATACATTCATTGCTTATGGCAATTTTCTGAACATCGTAAATGTTCAACATACAATATATATCTGTCAAATTTCCTGTATTACTCTTCTCTAAGAGCAGTCTTCTACTCTATATTCCTAATATCAAGAACCATAACATATACTTATACATGGTATCTTTTTCAACAGATATGTTTAAAGCTTTTGGGGAAGTAAAGGTAGAAAAGGATATGAAGAAGAAGGAAAATATATTTTTTTAAATGTTGGAAAATACTTAAACAGTTCACATTTGAGAATTATGAACTGCTACTAGAAACAAGGAAAGTCATCAAAGACTATCAATTGCCTTGGTGAACTTACTCTACAAAGCAAATTACATGAATGAATTTGACCTTTAGGAATAATACATTGTGATTCCTCTAAAATGAGAATATAATTGGTTCTGGTAAGAGTTTATTTTCCCTCTTCACCAATCCTATTTCCCCTGTGCACATAATTCAAATAACAGCAAAATGACACCACAAAAAACACTGACTAGAAAATAAAGGTAAAGCTAATAGAAACATATATACACACATATAATACATATATACTTATATAGAAATGTATATATATAACATATGCACATATAAAATAATAAGAATTTCTTAATAATTTTGTGTCCACACACATTAACTCTTATAAGCCAGACTTTTAAATACAAGATGAAGAACAACTATGAAGGAAGTTCAGAGATTTTTTTCTCAAAATAAGGGACTGTTTTTGTCCTGTCACATTTCTTTAAGATATTTTATTTAAATTTATCTGATGTAGAATGTCAGAACCTTCTTCTCTACTCTTCTTAGGTAGTAGTCTATGAATTTTTAAATGGCTAATTAGAATGAGAAATCTGGCTCCCAATGGTGTTCATACCTAGTACTAGTTACTTATAAAGGAGTCAAGTTTTAAGAAATTACTAAACTACTTCATGTCATGGTGGTTTCACTCTTCACAAAGTTTTTGACATATTCACTTAATCCTGTACTTAGATCCAGGCAAGAGAGGCTCTTACTCTGATCAATATTTAGAGGAAGCACTCTTGCCTTCTCTGGCCATGCCTCTCTCCACTCAGCAAGGCAGCCACAGGGCCAAGGGAACCCTTCTAAACTATACTCTGGGTTATCGGCACAAGCAATTTCCTCCCTAATTCCCTGAGTTCACTTCCAGAGCCTGTGCAGACCACCTCCCTGGGTCCATCCTCCTGAAGACAGAACATGACACCGATGTGCTCACTGGGGGCCCCAGTTCTGACCAATGGGCAGTTGTTTGCAGGGCTGTATATGGAGCTTGAATGTACAGGACAGGGTGTTCACCGTCACATTTGAGGCCACTTGTAGCACAGAATGGAATAGGGGGTGCAGAAAGAACAGTGGGGGGCTGCAAGCTGAGAGCTGACACTGCCCTGCCCTGACATTTTCACGCCAAAATCCTATGAGCTGAAAATTCTAAATTCACTCCTGGCCTCTGGGTCTTTATGAAGAATGGAACATAATTTTATGTAAACTTCTGGTAAATTGGACTTACTTTGTAATTTTGCTATGATCATCACAAGTTTTTAGGGTTTTTCTAGATTCATTCTATTTAAAACTTATAATTTTTTAAGTGTTTGTTTCCTCCAAAAGCAAGATGATGTAGCAGGTGTATCTAGATTAAGAAACACTTCGATAATGGATATACAGGACACCATGTTACTCTACATTAAATGACTTGTTTAAGCTGCAGACACAGAAGAGAGAAGGTAGGATTAAGGTCAGTAATCGTTAAGTGGCTGATTAAGAGAAAAGTCCAAAAGTTCCTCAATTTACTAATCCCTTCTCTCAACCATTAGCTCTCCCCACTCATAATCTGGACCAAAGTTATCTGCTCTGACACTAAAGCCTTTGAGAATAAAATCATTTCTCAGAGGACTGTTATGACCATGTGCCAGCTCTTGTCTTACAGTCACACACTCAGCAAACATCACTGTGACACAGGCAGGTGCTTTATGAACAGATGCAGGTTTCACAAGTACGTGTATACTCAATTTCAGCTAGCGATACATAAGGAAATTAGTCATTAGTTTTAGGAATTTGCAATATTTTATTTATTTTAATTTCATTCTACTCTGTTCTCAGTTTTTGATTTGGCTTCCAGAACGAAAAGGCTTCACACTCAATTAGTCAAGCTCACTTGAGACAGTTACACATTTAAGACATGACCAAGCATTCTAAAGCTCAGCCTCGCTGCCAATCTACTTTTCTTGCCCGATTTCTCCATCTCATATGACCTGTTATCAGAGTCTAATTGACCCTTAGGAAGGCATGAGGGCTCTATTTGTTCCAGAGGTGAAATTCAGCACTGCAACACAGCAATGCCTTTCAGATAACATATCATTAAGAAAGGAGGAGCAAATTGACACAGAAAAATGAGAACCTGGAGTTATGTTTCTTATTATTTAAATGTTGTACATTTTCAAAAGTCACTTTTATCTCTTTAAACCTTTGAGTCAGTGAGTCACAACAGAATTCAAATGTAACCAAATGCACTCATCTCAGTCACAGGCAGCCTCCTTGGAAGTGAATGATCAAGGAGGGAATTCGAGATGTTTCATTTTGTGAAAATAGATAGCTTTTCTGAGAGCTCACATTGTTAATATTTCCCAAAATAAATCAAGTTATATGTGCAATTAATTTTGGCCATCTGACATGAAAATACTTATGGAGTATAATAAAAGACCACACACCTTAACCTCTATGCATTTCCTTTTGCATTAATTTTATATGGAAAAATATATACTCACTGAGGTTGTGGTTGTCCTTTTTTTGTCTCTCTTTTGCTAAAGCTCTAGTGTCAGTTTCTGATCAAAAGAAAAATAATAAAAACCATGCTTAGTTCTACCTTAAAACCCCTCCAGGCAACATAATTCAGAACTCCTAGGTGAAAATAAAATATTATTTGCTCCAAAACGGTACAATAATATTTTTGATGCAAATATTCAGAAATTTGGAAAACAGTACTCTTCAGTGAAAGGCAATGGCAAAGCTTTTAGGCTCTGGGATAATAAAAACTGAATTTATTTTCTGGCCCTCCATTTAATAGCCATGTGATCTATTGCCACACTTCTCTGTGTTTCAGGCTCTTCATCTGTAAAATGACTATAATACAATACCTACCTTAAAATCATTGTGATAACCAAAAGAAATATAGTATACAGAAAATATAGTATTCAATTATTATTTTCAGAATTTTGAGATTCAGAAATTATTCCAACCTAAATATTTTATTAGTAATTATTATTTCTACATCCCAAGAGTTGCAACTCACTATATTTCTCAAATATCCATATGAAACACTTCCACACTTTCTTCCAGTAAATGGCACTTCCCTGTATATATGGTGTGGTTGTATTTATATGACCATCAACCTCCAGGATGGCCTACAATGATTCTTAATTTGTAGTATTCACACCTTGTAATTCCCTCCCACATTAAATAAATAAGGCTGACCTGTGAAGCCACTAGCTTGTTGTGGAAATGACTAGTATGGTATCCAAGGCTAGATAATAGGAGAAATTTTTAACTTTCACATTGGCATCTCTTTGATCTCTAGTTGTCATGTCATGAGGACACTCAAGCAACCCTATGAAGAAGTCCAAGCAGTCAGGGACAAAGACCACTTGCCAACAGGAAGCACTATCCTACAAGAACTTGAGTGAAACACCTCGGGAGTGCATCCTCCAGCCTCAGTCAAGTCTCAGGTGTCTGTACTTCTGGCTGACATCTTGACTACAGCCTCATAAGAGATTCTGGTCTGAACGAATTCACTAGGCCACTCCTGGATTCTTGATGCTCAAAGACTGAATGAGATTATAAATGTTTATTACTTTGAGATTATAAATGTTTATTACTTCAAGTTGCTAAATTTCAGGGGTAATTTGTTGTTATGCAACAAAAATAATACAATATTATTAGAGTTATAGTTTAAAAAGTTAATAAGATAATACATTTTATTTAAATGTATTTATTTAAAACTATAGTCATTAATTTTAGTCTGAATAATTTGGATGCATAGACATTTTTGAATTATTGATTGAGCTTTAAGAGTGGTCATGTTGTATTTATTTAAAATTTTACCGTGGTGTTTGAGCTCCAAACCAAAAGTTTATTGCAGAAATCTCAAGTGAATTTATTTACTTTATTCTTACGGAGGATCTAACACTGGACTTGGAAGTCAGGAAACCCTTACGTTGATCCAGTTCTGCCTGTAATCAGCTGTTACACCTTTAGGAAAGTAGCTCCTTTGACCCTGGGTTGATTTCCTCATTTATTTTGGAAGAATTTGACTATGCTCCTATAATTTGAGTTGTAACAATTAAAATAAACTATTGAAAACTCAGGGTTTATTTTCAATTAAGAAAATTAAATGTGAGTCTATCATGAAATCCATAAAACAAGCTAAAAAGAAAAAAAAATCCAATATTTGTTTTTTATCAAATTCTGCATACAAAGAATAGACTAATTTCTCTAATTTATTATTTCACTTTGTAACCATGTTAATAAATGGCATCTATTTAATATAAAAATGAGCCTATGTTAAATGAAGCTGTCTTTTATATATGTATGTATATATGTGTGTATATACATGTATATATGTATGTAAAACATATATGTGCATTTGCTCAATTTCCAAAATAATGAATCAATTCAGTCAAACTATAAGTTATTTTAACTTACTGCTTGATTATCATAAAAAGAAAAGATGAATTTACTGTCTGCCTTCTTTTTTGTAACTGTTTTGTTATACTTTTAAAATCCTAGTTAGCACAATATATGTCACTCATAACTTATGTCATTAATAAAAATAAAAAGGGTAAAACTATAAAAGCAACATTACCTGTAATTTCTCTTTTCATTGGTAGACTACTTGGACAAGAAGCACTTGTAAGCCCCATGTTAATTGGTGAAATTCCTTGTTCACCGCTATACACATCCAAAATACTTCCAGATAACTTGAGAGGAAAAAGGAAGAAAAGATTAATAAAAACCTTCTGTGCAAATTGATATATTTAGTTATATATATTACATTTTCCACTTTAAATGTGGCATTTTGTTAATAATAATTTCTAATTTGGGGCATTTTGCTTTTAAACAAGACGAGTATGCATTAACTTTTTAAAAGATGCATTATAAAATGCTTACAGATAAGATGCGCTGAAAAAAAGTTATATGTGTTTAAGCAAAAAGAGAAATCAGTTCATGTATGAAGGAAAATTCCTATTAATATTTACAAAGTTATGGAAGTTTGATCCAGCATATGACCTGGTTATAAATGGATGTAATTAAAAATATTATTTTGGACAAAAATCAATATACATCTTTGCAAAGCTGGAAAGTTCACCACATCCCACAAATTAGGTATAACGGTTGAACATTTTGGGACCCTTCTTAATACCATCAGTGCTACCAGCAACTCACAGTCAAGAGGTGTTTTACACTGTTAATTAAATGAGAAACTCTTCCCTTCCTGGAAGGCATACTTTTTCTCATTGTACACTTAATGTTCTAGATTATTATAAATATCCCAGCTGGTAACCAAAAGTAGTCTAAAACTACTTTTGCCTCTAGTGAATATAGGGTACATCCAATTATAGCAACACTGCAATTCTTGAACTGCTTCTTGGGAACAATTTTTCAGAAAACCTAAGTTGCTTTATACACAATTCAAAATTGCACCAATTCATTATTCAAAGTGTGCTTATTGATTTGATTTCCCAAGAAAATAACATTTAAGTAATATTCATATTTCAGGTTAATACTCATTATTCCAGAACAAGCTGCATTCACTATGCAGGATTTGAAATTTTAAGATATTTCCATTGTGAGTATCTTTCTTCCACTTCTGTGCAATAAACCAAGAGCTGAATAAGAAGCAATTTTTTTTATTTCCTCAATGACTAGGAATAAAACATATAATAAAACAATGCTTTAACAAGTCTTCATGAAGAATCTAACTTCACAACCCACTTTTTGCAAAACTCCAATTCAATTTGAGAGAACTGATAAAATCAGACAGGAAGTAAATATGAAGAAAGGACATATTATATCCAAAATTAGTTTCTGAGATAATAATCTATTACAGTATATATAATAAATGTTGTATATACCTGAGGGGAAAAATTGGAAAATACAGTTGAAATCACGTCAGTTTATATGCATATCAATAAGGACATTTTAGACTTATATGGCTCTCAGATGTATTTTTTCATATTTTTTCATTATTAACTCTATTAGGACTCTTCACGTTTACTTTATATAAACTTAATTGTAAGAGAATTTTTGCTTTATGGGTCTTGGAAGGGAGCTATAAAAGCCACCTATTGGAGTCATCAGCTATTTCTCCTCAATTTTCTCATCTGTAAAATAGGGACAAAGTTGAGCAAATTAGGCAGACAATGTGTGTTAGTATCAAATAAATACAATTATTCTTTGGAAGAAATCCAAAAAGCAGATGTTTTTCTAAGATGTGACTCACTTAGCCATACTTTTTAAAGTGTAAATTTTCCAAGGTCATTTTTGAAAGGCCTGTTGGTTATGAGCTGAGGCATCACCAGCTTGAATTGCACATTTCCACTGTGCCTTTGAGAAGCATAATGGACACGTTGAACAAAAAGGGAGTGAGGGGGACAGAACTAGGAAAAGGGCACTTTCCCTCTGAAGAGCCTGAATTCAGATGGACTTCAATGAAGAAGTGGCAAGTTGCAGAAATGTTAAGGAAGAAAAGGAGCCATATTACAGATATACCGCAACAATAAAGTAAGAGGTACCTAACTATAGCATTTCCTTGCCTCCATATTACCTAGTCAGACAGCACCCAGTGCATTATTCCTTAGAAATGGGGTTTAAATTCTGATAATGAATCTAATCCGGCTGAACTGTAGCCGTATTGCATATTCTTCTGATCTTGGTTATTGTCTAATTTATGCCCTAAAGCACAATAATTAATATCCTATTTAATTTTATGCTATAGGTACTTCTCTATTTCATGTAAATGGCTCATCACTTTTTGAATATCATTAAACAATTGAGTTCAGTTTCAAAGTGTGTAATACACTTCATGTAACCTAAAGTGCATTTTCTCCATTAAAAGATGTAAGAGTCCAGTGTTAGTGAAAATGTACAGATTGCATTCACCTGTGAAAAAGTTTACAAAGAAAACTTCTATCAACATTTGTCAAAGGTATAAGTAACTTAGGTAATAAAGTCCAAGTTTTAACTTAATTTTGTAGATCAGTAGGCAAATGAATACCTATTTTATGAAGAAATATTTATTATGATATTTTTAAAAGGTTGCTTTCTCAGTAAAGCAAAATCTTTGATGTGACAATAGGCAAACATTATTATTAACAAAAAATTCACAAACTTTAAAGACATAAAATAAATAATTTATTATAAAATCCAGTCAACAAAGTGAGAGAGAAGGCCTGATAGAGCAGAGTCTACTTCTCTATAAGGCAATACTTCTTTCTGATAGAAAAAAGTGAACTCCTGATCTGAGAAACTGCTTTGAGGTGAGGAGTGAATAACAGTAGTTTCCTGGTATCAGAGGCTCTTCGCCGTAGATTTTATTCACATCTCCACGCTGAAGTCATAGGGACTGAAACAAATAGAGTCTAACCTTTCCACATATACACTGCTATCTACAGTAACTAATATTTCCTGAAGAAAATGAGCTAGCAGGTCAAAATATCAAAATATTTGAGGAAAATGACTATTTCAAAAGTAAGGCAACAAACACCATTATAAATAACATCAAAGGTATTTGTAATAACTTGTGATATAAAATAATGAACAGTAAACATAATGACCAAAGAGACCAAGGAGAAATGAGAGATATGAGAAATAGAATGCTTAGAAAAAAAATCCTATAGAATGGAAAAATAACATAATGGAAACAATAAAAAAGGAATAAACGAATTGGTAAAATATAAAGCCAAATTTTTAAAGTAATCTCCCAGGAGGATAAGGAAAAAGACTAAGAAATAGAACATATGAAAGAACACCTAAACAATACAGGGAATAGAATTATTAGAACTAAATTACAGATAACAGGAGTTTCGAAAAGAGAGAAAAATAATATTGGAAGAAAGAATTTTTTAAAGTAACGGAGACACATTTTTAAGAATTAATAGTAATCAATGGGCGACAGTATTTTATTTCACCATAAGTTATCATTATTTTATTTTCATTTAAAAATCAAAGTGTTTATAGAATGCCTAATAAGAATGATAGAAAAGACCTGCATTCAGATATATTATACTAAAATGAAATAATATACAATAATAAAGAGAAAAAAATCTAAAAGCCTAGAAAGAAAGATTGTGTACAAAGAACAAAAGTCCAATTAATATAAGACTTTTCAGTAGCAAAACTGAATGGAAAAATAAAACAAATCTGTATTTTAAAACATTGAAAGAAAATAAAACGAAGTTTTATAGTTTTATATCCAGCTCAAATGTCATTCACACATGAGGCCATGATAAAATATATTCTTAGGCATACAATGCTTAAGAAAGTTTATCCCATAAAGACTAACACTGGAAAAAGTTGGGGTGAAATGCTTAAATAAGTAGAGATATTTAAAGAATATGCTCAAAAATATAAAATAAAATTGATCGAATATCTTGGTAAAGTGATTGCGGAATAAATAATGGCAGTGGATCCAAGATCAAAGATTGAGTGAAACACATAACCATGTAACTCGATCCAGATAATATCAGCACAATTGGGTTGCTGTCGCAGGGAAGCCAAAGGATGTGAAAGTGGTAAGAATGTATTAAGGAGAAACTTAAAAATGGGGCACAAAAATGAATTAAGAAGAGCAAGTGAAAACATATCAATAATAATAATTGATCTAAACAGGTCAGACTCCCTAGGTAAAGGATTGACAGATAAAGTAAGAAAACAGGAACTAGATAAAAGTATCTTACAAGAGACATATCCACACAGTAAAAGGACACATAAAGATTAAAACTTAAAGAATGGAAAAAGACATATCCAGCAGATGATATCCATGGGGAAACTGATGTAGCTATATTAATATCAGAAAAAGGGCTTTCACGCTTAAAAAATTATTAGGGATAATGAGTCACTATTCCTAAAAGGTATAACAATTACAAGCATGTGTGCTCCTAATAAAGTAACCTCCAGATATGTGAAACAAAATGTTTAGAACTACAAGGGGAAATGAATAAATACACCAAAAATAGTGGAAGACTTTAACACACATCTCTTCATTTTTGAAAAGTCAAGCAGACAAAAATAATCAGTAATGCTACAGAAGACTGGAACAATAAATGTTAAATCTCAGCCCAATAGACTTGTATATAGTTTCACATGAAGAAATAGTGAATACAGTTTTCTCAAGTACATATGGAACATATACAAAAACTGACTAGGTGCTCAGTCAAAAGAAACCCTCAACACATTTCATAGAGTGATTGCCAAAATATTTTGAAATTTTAGAAAATTGTTAAAAACCTCAAAGTTTAAGATGAAATCATAGTGGAATTTTAAAATACAACAGAGATAAAACACATGTAAAAATGTCTAGAATATGGCAAAACAATGCTTTAAAGAAAATTCATAGCCTTAAATAATAAATGATAAAAATAGATTCATTTTTGAATTATATAAATTAACCATCATTCTTTTAAAAAAAGGGGAAATAACCAAATAAATCCAAAGAAACTAGAATAGATAATATAATAAGGCCGTAAATCAGTGAAGAACAAAACAATACAAAGATAGATTCATAAACCAAAGCTTGTTTTTGTTTGAAAAAAAATTAACAAGATTGACATGCTTCTGGCAAAACTGATTAAATGAATAACATTTCAAATGAAAGGAGAAAGTAACAACAGTACATTAGATTTAAAAGGTAAAAAGTTTCTCCACTAAGCTTAGGAGCAAGATAAGGATGCCTGTTTTCACTACTTCTATTCAACACAGTATTGTAAATTTAGGTGAGAATAACCAGGCAAGAAAAAGTAACAAAAGCTATCCATATTGGAAAGGAATAAATGAAATGATCTCTGCTAACTGTTGACACGATCTCATATTAAGAAAACCCTCCCTAAGATTCTACACTTACACACACACATGCACACACGCACATACACCATCAAACTGTGTGCTGATTTTATGTACTGCAGCTTAGCTGAACTCATTTATTAGCTCAAAAATCAGTTGCATTTCTACACATGAACCATGAACAAACTGAAAAAGAAATTAAGAAAACTATTCCATTTAAATAGCATCAAAAGGAATGAAATACTTAGGAATAAACTTAACCCGAGAAGCGAAAGGCTTATACACTGAAAACTAAAAAATACTGCTGAATGAAATGAAAGAAATCATAAATAAGTGGAAAGGCATTTTGTGTTCATGGATGAAAAGAAATAATATTGTAACATTGCAATACTATCTAAAGCAGTCTAAAACTCAATACAATTTTTATCAAATTCCAACTGCATTTTTTAAAGAAATAGAAAAATGCATTTTAAATTCACATGAAATCTCAAGGGACCCTGCAGAATCAAAACAATCTTGTGAAAGAACAAAGTTGGAGCACTCACACTTCTAGATTTCAAAACTTATTACAAAGCTGCAGTTATCTAAATCTGTGCTAGTGTGAGTCTGACAATAAGATATATAGACCTAGGGAGTATAATAGCAAGTCCAGAAATAAACTCTCTATTTTATGGTCAAATGATTTTTGACAAAGGTGCCAAGACCACTCAGTGGGGAAAGGAATTCTTTTCAACAAATGGTGTTGGAAAAACTGGCTATCATCATGCAAAAGAATGAAGTTAGATGTTTACCTAACACCACATACAAAAATTAACTCAAAATGGATCAAATACATAAACATAAGAAAAAAATCTATAAAACAACCCTCACAGGGGGAGAAGCTACTGGCCGATCATGTATTTCTTAAGAGATTAAGATCCAGAATATATACATAAAAACAAATCTTAAACTCAACAACAAAAACTAACAACCCAATTTCATTTATTTATTTTATTATACTTTAAGTTCTAGGGTACATATGCACAACGTGCAGGTTGTTACATAGGTATACATGTGCCATGTTGGTTTGCTGCACCCATAAACTTGTCATTTACATTAGGTATTTCTCCTAATGCTATCCCTCCCCCAGTCCCCCTCTCCCCGACCAGCCCCGGTGTTTGATATTCCCCACCCTGTGTCCATGTGATCTCATTGTTCAACTCCCACTTCTGAGTGAGAACATGCAGTGTTTGGTTTTCTGTCCTTGTGATAGTTTGCTTAGAATGATGACAACCCAATTTTCAAAATGGGCAAAAGACTTGAATAGACATTTCTCCAATTAAGATATATACAAATGGCCAATAAGCACATGAAAAGATGCCCAATATCACTAGTCATTAGGAAAATGCAAATCAAAGCTACCATGTAATACTTCAATCTCATTAGGATGGCTAATATCAAAAGAAAAATTGAGGAGTGCTGGTGGTAACGTGAAATGGTGCAGCCATTGTGGAAAGAAGTATGGAAGTTCCTCAAAAGGTAAGTATAGAATTAACATATGATCCAGTAATTTCACTTCTAAGTATGTATCCAAAAGAATTGAAAGCAGGGACTTAAACAGATAATTGTACACCAGTATTCATATTAGCATTATTTACAATAGTCAAATGTCCATCAACAGATGAATAGATAAACAAAATGTGGTGTATACACATAATGGAATAGGCTTAAAAGGAATGAAATTCTGATGAATGCTGCAACATGGGTGAAACTTGAAAAAATTATGCTAAGTGAAATAAGCCAACCACAATAGGATATATATTGTATTATTTTACTTATATGAGGTACCTAGAATAGTGAAATTCATAGAGACAGAAAGTAGACCAAAGGTTATCAGGATCTGGAGATTCAGAGATAAGGGGAGCTATTGTTTAATGAGTACAGAGTTTTTGTTTGGGATATTGATAAAGTTTAGGAAATGGATAGTGGTGATGGTTATACATTATGAATGTACTTAATGCCTTTGAATTGTACACTTAAAAATGTTTAGAATGGTAAATTTTATGTTACTTATATTTTACCCCAATATAAAAACATAATGGGATATACTACCAACAGGGAGCAAGATAAGGATGCCTATTTTCACTACTTCTCTTCAACATAGCGTTGTAAGTTTTAGCCAGAATAATTAGGCAAAAAAAGTAACAAAAGCTACCCACATTGGAAATAAATAAGTGAAATGATCTATGCTCACGGTTGACAAAAATTTGCCATTGATTGTAAATGCTTAGACAAAATGCAAAATTTTCTAGAAAAATATTACTTAGTAAATGTAATTACTGACTGAAGAAGTAATTAATAGTGGTAATCGTATTATGATTACTGAAGAATCAAAAGGTACTTTAAACATACTTCACAAAGAAAAAATCTGAACTAGATACTTTTATGGGGAAAAGTATCATATTTTCAAGAAATATATCATGCCATTTTGTAAAAATGCTTCCAAACAACTTTAAAGGCAAGCGGGAATATGTCCCAATTCACTGACACCAAAATCATACAAAGACATTAGAGGAGGAAAAACTATAGGCCCATTTCACTCATTATTATAAATATTCAGCAAAATATTATTAACACTTTGAATTCAAAAGCTATAAATAATTTGCCACCATCAAGTTTGATTTCCCATAAGTGTATTTTATAATTTAAAAGAGAAAAAGAATCTATGATCATCTCAACAAATTCAGAAAAAAGCATTTGATAAAAGTTAATCCCATTTATTATAAAACTCAGTTTATTAGGAATAGAATTTTGGTAATTTAATAAATAATATGTCTGAAACTTTAAGGCAAACATCCTAATTAATTATTCCCATCAAAATCATTCCTTTTGACATTCAACTTTGTATTTGAAATTCTAGCCAAGGTAATAAGGTAAGAGAAGAAAAGTGCTATGTTTACAGTATCAGTCTATCTCTTCATACAGAATATAGTATTAAGAGAAAACATTTGTTACAAAATGTCACACACAGCTTGATATCCTTTATATATACAAAGTTAAAAACAACTAAGAAAAACAAGTTGATCATGTTTTCTTAGCCCAATGCATGGTAGACTAGCAAAGGAGAAAGAACAGATAAGGCCATTGTTGTCAAGTGTGGTAACAACTGTAGAAATGACAGTAACAATTTCACAATGCTGCCAGATTTTCTTTTTAAATGCCTAACTGGAGTTTTCTGTATAGTTTTACATTAATTAAGTTTTAACTGACGTTGATATGAAAGTAATTCTACACATAAGGTATGTGTTTCATAAACTTTTTTGGATAAGATCAGTAAATAGTTTGACATAATATTTCTTACCTACAAAAATTCTACCACGGTAATAGCTTCTTAAAGGGAATTTTTCCTACCTCTTCAGGCTTAGATATTCTGATTCTGTTCATCAAATTTGTTACTCTTAATCTCCTACTCTACTACTGTGTAAAGATGCTGATTTAATTACATGTAGAATGATTCTATACAAAATTGTGAAACACTGTTTACCATATATCCTTATCCTCTAAATGGAATGCTTGTGGGTCAAAGTTTCCATTACACATTTGCTTACTGTTAGGATAAGGAATCGTGTGCATTTGTCTCACATTTTATCAAAATAGCACCCTTTTTTTTCTTTCTTTTTTAGTTGAAGTTACTAATGTCTCCAAATTGCAATTTTAAGTCTGGAAGAAAAGACAGTGAAACTTTTATTCAAATTCAGTGCATTGGCAACATATTTTTGAGACAATACATGTTTTCATAACCCTAGAAAAATATAGCTTTGTCTTTGTTTAAAATCAGTGCTGCTCTATAAGAAAATAATATCTGGGTCCAAAATTATTGTAGAAACATCTAAGTAAAATTAACCTCTGAAAATGTTCATATATCCATCTATTCTTATCAGGACAAATACAGGACAACATAAATAACCTGACCTGAATTCCACATATGCTTTTTCTACTGTTTTGGCCTCTTCCCTCTTCATATTTTATATCTGATCTATCACTCAGATATGACTTTTTTTAAGAGCTATTTCTCAGTTTGAAAATTCTTCCCTATTCTCATATTTCAAGATCCTCACAGCCCTAAGCCTAAATTATGTTCCCCGCCACTAGTATTTCTTCATCTCTCTCAATTAACTACCACTACCCCTCCCAGACTAACTCATAGTTTAAAAATACAACTTCCTTCTGCTTTCTCCCAGTCAAAAAATCTGAAATCTAAAATCTTTCTGCCTTAACTCATGTATTAAGCCCAAATTCTTGCGTTTAGTTTTCAAAATCTTGCTGCATGGCCCCACTTTCTCTATTCGACATTATTTCCCACTAACTCTCAAGATGAAAGATTTCTTACCACCACATGTAAACATACTGTGCCCATGGCTCTCAACAATAGACTTCAAACCCTAGCGGCAGGGAGGGTGTGAGGGGGAAGAATGTTACTGCAAGGAATCTGTGAATTTATATATGGGGAATTTTTTTAAGAAGATAATAAAATACAAGCATGATCCTAACATACGTGCTATGTCATAGACAGCTGAGTATTTATTACATACCAGGTACTAAACCAAGCATATTTCATAGTAATAATTTAAATAACTATATCTCAAGTAATCTTTACAACAACTCTAGTATTATAATTGTCATTTTAAACATAAAATAATTAAAGCTCTAAGAAATGAAATCATCATTTCATGATCATATAGCTTTATAAAGAAGTAGAGAGCTTGGATTCAAACCAAGGAATGTCTAACACAATGTCTGGATTCTTTATTATCTACCCTATAGGTAGAAGGGCCTTGCCTTTAAAACTTTTAGTCTTAAGTGTTTTGAGTGCTAAAAAAAGTTACAAGGCATTGGATTTAATTTTTCTCAGTTATATTCTTTCCCACTGCTGTTTTCTGCACTACCAATGTCCCCATTCCTTCAATAAGCATCCAAATCTAAGGCTCAACGTTGGGAAAGCCCTCTTCAGCACTCCTCCTCAGGCCAGCCTGGTTTATTTTTCCTTTCACCCTAATAACATGGGGCTAACAAACTTGCAATACATTTTCTAATTGAATTTAAATTAATTGTTTTATCTTTCTCCATTTTTATTCACTCAGCAAGAGAAAAGGCATTATAGTATGTATTTACCATGTTCCTGAAAATGGATTATATATGTAAAGCTAAGAATCTTTGGCATATATATGTGTATATACATATACATATATATAATGTCCTAGATAATTTCATTATAAATACAAAAATGTAAAAAAGTCTTATATATAGTCACATATTATATTTCCAGATAATTTATTAGTAGAGATAACAAAAGAAAAAAATACCTTATATATATGTGTCTGTGCACTATGATATATTTAATATGAGTGTCAAGGGAAACTGAGGCAGTATTTTGAGTTGTTTGGATCCTATATTGTGTTTTTTTGTGAAAACATTCATTGTGACCCTAAGATGGTAAAAGATTAGATAGAATAATTGTAGACATAAAAGGAAAATAAACTTCATGTATAAAGAGGATCACTGTAGGAGAGCCTAGAGTGCACAATGCATGCAAAAAATTGGCGTTTGAAAGATTATTGTCTTTCCTTTTGGGTGTTTATTAATGTAGATGCAATAAACAAGGTCTTTATAGTTTCAGGACACACACCATTAATATTCCTCTAAATTTGTTTTCTTTGCTACTAAAGCAGAGGTATACAGTTTAAATGACATGCACTGAATAGAGAAATCCCACTGTGTTATTGCTGTTATTATTTTTGTCCTATTATGACACATGTAAATATAATGTGTTGAGCTGGAATAGGAGATCCCCTGTCCTTGGTGAGCTGGTTTATAATATAGTGGCAGATTATCTGGAAATACAATATGTGACTATATACAATAATAGAAGAGATAAAATATAAAACAAAGAATGATAATTTATAAATACTTTTGCATCATGCATATTATATACATATGACCTATTTAGTAATAAATAAAAACAATTAATTTAATGTAAACACTGCAACAATTAGTTTGAAACCCTCATCTTTTGATTAAAAAGTAATAATAAACAGGAGTTTGAATATTTTTTACTAAATATACTGTTATAATTTTTTACTATAGTCCAGAGCACTAAAAATAATCTTGTAAGTAAGCATGCTTGTCAATACAGCAGAATATATTTTATGCGTTTCAAAGCTCAATGTTCACATACCTTATTTTATTGACTATAAGTTTATAAAGTTTAAATTCAGTATTTAAGGTGGTTTCATCTCCAAACACTGAAAGAATTCCAAAATATACTTGCTCACCAGTTTTAACTTTGAAGTGTCTATAACCTTCACAATAGCAATGGTTTTCTCTTTCTCCTTCATCATTTTCTTTTCCTTAAACTTGCAAACAATAACCAAGAGAACTGTGTGGAAACTTCTACACTAAAGTGAACTTTGGTTCTTCTTTGGACTTTAAGACTAATCTTGTCTAGATTGTGATTGACAAAAGCTTGCTCACTGATGTTATGCAGTCCTTTCAAGTTCCAACCAAGCACAGGGGGTTGTTAATATTTACTCATTCCTCGTCTCTGGAATGATCTTGAACTATAACAGTTTACTTAGACTACCAAATGCCACCAGCATTTACAGACACTTGATTGAAAAAATACCTATATATGTTAAAAGAAATGAGTTACTATGCACAACCACGTCTCTGAAAGAAAGGGGTGAAACTAAGACCAATGGGTGTAAATAATACACAGATCTAAACTCAGAGGCTAAGCAATCATTCAGCTGGAGTGTGCCAGATGATAAGATCTGTCTCAGACCCCTTCAAATCATAGGATTCTATAGTTCTATGCAATGGCTACTTCCCTGAGACCGCTGGCACAGCAGAATGGGTAAGATAGTTGCACTGGTTTCATGCAGGGCTGGATTCAAGGCCCTACTTTGCCATTCATTAACTATATGAACTTGGGCAAGTTACTGAACTCTCTAAGCTTCTTTCCTCATTTGTAAAATTTTAATAGGCAATAACAGTCTCTATCTCATAGGTTTGTTGTGAAATTAAATGTAGTTTTTCACTAAAAGTATTTTGCATAATTCTTGTCACCTAGTAAGTAACCAATGCATGGTAGCTATTATTATTGTTGTCTTTATTCTTGTTGCAGTAGTACCATGCTACTGCAACAAGAATAAAGTATTCCTGAATAGGAATTATAATGAAAACAATTATTTCAATACTATGTGTGAATTTTAGTCATTTATTTAACATGCATTTGCTGAGCACCTGTGATGTGTTAGTCACTATGCTGGGTACTAACAACAACAAAACAGGCTACTGTTTTAGGCTCCAGAGACACAGCAGTAAATGAGACATACAAAATCCCTGTCTTCAAGGGGTTTGCATTCTACAGGGGGAAGCATAGAATAAATAGGTAAATGCAGTAATAAAGAAGATCATTTGTGTTACACTACTCATAAGTCAGAGGGTAAATAAAATAAGACATTGATTTGAGGAGTCATGGAGTTAGGGTAATTGTGAAAGGCCCCTTTGACAAGCTGACATTGACTAAAGATCTGAATCATAAAGAGGTAACCATGCAAAGATCTGAGACAAAAGCATTCCAAACTAAGCAAAGGAAGTGCAATGGTTGTAAGATGATAATATTCCTGTCATGTTTGAGGAGAAAGGATGCCATTGAATCCAGACCCTGAAGTCAAAGGGAAGTGCTGACTATAATAAAGTGTCTGGATTATATTCCGAATATTTCAGAAAGTTAATAAAATGTTAAGCAAGGAGAAACAGGATCTGATTATTTCTTTAGGAAGATTATTCTGGCTGCTCTGTGAAGAACAGCTGTAAGGGAACAAAATGTAGCAGGAAAGCTAGGTCAGAGCCTGTGGCTGTAGGGAGAGATGATGGAACTTGTTTTACAAGAGGACATGATAGGAACCTGTGAGATTCTGGAAATCTTGGATGTAGATTACAAAAACATATTGATAGATGTGAGTATGGGAGTAAGAGAGAGAAAAGCAAAGAATGACCATTTTTGTTTGTTTCTTTCACATCAACTAAAAGCAGATTTTGGAGGAAGGACTTCTTTTCAGCCATGCTATGTTTAAGATACCTGTTAGAACCACAAAAGATATCAAGTAAGCAGTAGAATATATAAGTCTGGCATATAGGGGATTGATCTAGGCTAGAGATGTGTTGATGTTACCTATAGGACATGTATTGATATATGAGAAAAGAGGACCAAAGACTGAGCCTTAGGACACTCCAGAATTTAGACATCTGTGAGAAGAAAAAGAACCAGTAAAATGAGTGAAAAATCAGAGAATCCACAGAACCCCAGATAGCTCTTCAAGAAGAAGGAAGTGGTGAACCATGTTAAATGCCACTGAGGAGCCAAGTCAGGTGACAATGGAGAATTTGCTACTGGATTAGTTTGCTATTGATTGCTATTGATTGGCTTGCTATTGATTGGTTTTCAGAGCCCTTTTAGAATTGTGAGGACAAAAGCCCTATTGGGGAGGAGAGAATGAGAGGGAAGGAAGTCGAGGCAGGGAGAAAATGGGGGCAGTGAGTTTTTTTGTGTCTGTATGTAAAGGAGTCATGAAATAGCCTAGTAGCCAGAGAGGAAATGCGTTTAAAGGGTGCTGTTTGGTTAGGTTTGCTTTTAGTGAGTGTTATTAAAGATTGATAAATGCTGATATTTATAATACAGTAGATCAGCATATATTCATGATCTAGAAGGAGGAGCTATTTAGAGAAGAAAAGTCCTTTGGAAGGGATCCCAGACACAAATGGTAGGGCTAGCTTTAGATAATGAACTAGGACAATTATTCACATAGGAGCTAGTTATTTAAAAGAGCATGGCAACTTCTCCCCTCTCTCTTGCTCCCTCTCTCACCATGTGACACTCTGGCTCCCCTTCCTTTCTGCCATGACTAAAAGCTTCCTGAGGCCCTCACCAGAAGCAGATACCAGGGTAATGCTTCACGTATACAGTCTGCAGAGCCGTGAGGCAAATAATCCCCTTTTCTTTAAAAAGTACCCAGCCTTAGGTATTCCTTTATGGAAATGTAAAATGGACTAACGCAGACAACCCATGTCATATAGTAGGTAAACATAATAATAATTATTGGTAAATATTCTCATTTTTGAAGCTTATTTTAATAAACATCTGTTAATTTAGCCTGACTAGAATCCATTCACATTTGCTTGGGTAACGACTACTGCTTTCTTGGTTCTCACTCTTAGTCTGGGCAATTTGTTGTGGAGGGCTGTTCAAGCCACAGCTCTAGGGTAGGCCCAAGACCCAGAGACATTGGCTTAGAAATAGATATGTGACAGAAGCTGCTCCATTATCTCAGAGCTTTAACTGGAACTAAGAAGAAAAATACTTCCTCTTAGGTATCCCGTACTAACTGAATGTTTCCATTAGGATGCATTTGTTTTTGAGAATCAGAAAATCCTGATATAATTGGCTTATAAAATAAAGAAAAAAAAAACCTTACATATCCATAGGCAAAATAATTCTCCAGGGGCATATAAGCAGCATTTCTTTCCATATCTGTTGATTTTCTCTTTCCCTTTGTTTCTTTTGTTTTTCCTCACTTTATCTACCTTTTGGGGGGAAAAAAAAGGCTACAGAAGCCCCATAAATCATGGAGAAGCAAAAAGCCTTCTCTTTCTTGAAATTACAGACTGAAGAAAACTTCCAAGCAGGTCTCAGTATCCTGCTCAACTTGCCAGAATTGCAGCACAAGCCCATTCTTAAAACAATCTCTGGCAAAGGAAATGGGGCCACCAGAATTGGTTTAAATTAATCAGAAACTTCCTCTTTCTTGTGAAGGAATGGATGTCTGAAAAAAAACTAGGTTAGCAAGAAAAAAGTGTATGCATGGCTGGGAATAGGCTATGACAGTGTCTGTTCAATGGCTGAGAATAAAGCCAGCACAGAAGAAAACAGAGACAAATTTACAAAGGGATGCCCACATACAATATTACTTAGGGATTTTTAGATGGCATGAACCAATAAATTCCTTTCATGCTTAAGCCCCTTATGAGTCAGGTTAACCACCTGCAACCAAAAGTTCACTGGCTAATATACTTACTCAAAGCTTTTTTCTGAATCTAACAAGTCTTTGCTTTTATCTACATAAACTATAAAAATCCTTCAGAGTTTCCTACCCCTATTCTACCAGCTATTCTTGTACATTCTCTTTTTTCTCACTTCTTGCCTTATGTTGTTCTCTTAACTTGCTACTTTTCTGCCTTCATGTCTATCTCTTAAAATCTTAACTATACAGTACTTCATAACTATATTTCAAACATCACCTCTTTCTAAAGGACTTCCAAAAATTCTCACTTTCTCATGGTTTCTCCTTCATTTGAGCTGCAGAGCAAATCTCTGACTAGCATTCAAAATGAACACATGTAGTCTATAAGATATCAATTAAAACAGCCTTCAGAGACCAATATTTTTCATTATTCCCATAATACAGAAATAGATACCAAAGCAAAGGCAGGTTACGTGATTTGCACAATGTCTGGACTAGAAATGGGTTTGACCCAAGTTCCACATTCTTTCCCGCCCTCTCTCAGGTACAACTCATTGTGCTACCCCATTATATTGTCATCTCTTGACATGTGAATTGTGCCTCACTCAACTTGCAGTCTCATATTGTGTGAATATTATGCTTTACATATAATAAGTATTCAGTAAATATTTGGTTAATTGAACTGCTTTGTTTTACATGTGGATCTAAATTATCAGTTATCTTTGGTTAGTTAACAGCAGATATTTCTTTATGTAAATACACTTAGACCAGTAGTATCCATCTATGTAAAAGTACATTGTGTATATCAAACACATATTCCCAATGAAATTCATCACCAATTTTTTACTGAGTAAACCATTCTACAAAGACTCTACAAAACAAGTAGATAATTTGACAGAGAATGTTTCAGTATACAATTTCAATGAAGTAAGTACCATGTACAAAGAAGAGAAGGCTGCAGGAAATTAATATCATTTCCTCAAGCTCAGAAGTTGAATATTGCTTAAGAAAATAGGATCCTCATGCTGTGAAATTAGAAAGGGAGATATTAGCATTAATATCAAATGTATCTAGAGAATTAGTTTTCATGTCACTATGGCTACTTGAAATCTGAAGAGAAAAAAGGTAGAGTCATCATTCTATATTTAAAAAAATGAAAACTGAAAAAAAATCCTGCAACAAAAAACAGATTTGAAACCTCATCTGATATTTAGCAGGTAGAGTTAGTACTGGTGACTTGACTAGCACTATGTGGAGGTCCTGCATACTAGAGAAAAGGAGAAAGAGACACTTCTCTCATTAGATAGTCTACTTAAGAATTGATACAGAAAAAAGGGATGCTTCCACCATTTTTTTTCTAGGCCCTAAATTGAAAACATCCATCATAATGTAGTCTAGCCTATTGACTTATAGATGAATAGTCCACAACTCAATATAGTCAGAATTCACTTTTTTTAAATTAAATATTTAAAGTAACAATTCAATTGCGATCTTTGAGATTCTTTTTTCTCCTGTTCTCTAAAAGATTGTAAACTGTAAACAAACAAACAATAATCCTTCAAAATATGTTGAAAGAGCTTACACACCCTTTACAGATAACATTTTTATGATTCATAAATGAACAATCAGAAGGCGCATAGCAAGCAAATAGGAGATAATACACTATCCCTTCATATTGCAGGAATTTGTACTGATTTCAACATAGAAGTCTTTCTACATACTTTAAAGGAGGGTGAGGCCTGTTCTATCTTTTTCGATTTGACTTTAACCTCTGGCTATTGGCTTAGAAGTAAATTTATATTTTTCATTGTTGTAATATTTTCTTTCTTCTACAAAGGTATAGAGCCTCTAAATCTGAAAGCTGTATTAGTCATGGTAAAATAGTCAAAATTTAGTCATGACCTTTTAAGAGTGTTTGATTACTTGCTGTGCTTAAAATAGAAAATCTAAAGATTAAATTCCTTACAGAAAATGCTAGCAAATTAGATATATAGTTAGATGCATGTATATAGGATTAGACAGAGAGAGACAGAGAGAGAGATTAGTACAAGCACTATATTCTTCAACCATTAGATAACCTTTTTTTCTGCACCAATAAATATTTTCTAGTATTCATCTTTTATCTTGTCTGTTTAAAAAGTGCAGAAAAAAGCACCAGTTGCTAATCAAATATTTTTATTATCAGAGTGTATTCATTTCTGTTTCAATGACCTTCTTGGGTCTGAAAGCACTTACTGTTCTTTGCATTAGCAGAGGAGAGTCTGCTCCTTCCTCTTTAAAACTTGATTCCATACCGATTATATCCTCAATAACGTCCTCCATCTAGCAAAATATAATACATTTAGAATATTGTACATAATGATAAAAGTTGTGCTTCAGTCTGAAAACAGAGAGAAAAATTCTAGCAATCTTTAAAAGTTTTTAGACAATTTAAATTGAGGTTATATATACATATATATAAAACCTCAATATTATATATATATATATATATATATATATATATATATATATATATAAAAACACAGATTACTTTAGCATTGAAAATGCAGGAATCCTGACAATCTTTGGTCTGTTGCTTTTTCTTGCATTTGTGTCCAAAGGCTGACAGGTGACAACTTGACAAATCACCCTGGGCTAGTCTCTTGGAAATCAGTATCTACATAAATAGAGTGGTTATCATGAAATATCTCAAGGCAGATAGGGTCCCTATAGTTAATATGTACAGAGATTACTTTCTACAAACTTTATTTTTCTTTTAAAATGTTCTGATTGCATCTTACATGTGGATATCTAAATATTCATGGTTAAATATTACCCAGTACATTCCTGTAGATATAGAAGAGACGGAAACATTTCATCCTACCTTCTCTAAAGACCAATAATAATAGGTAATAGCAATAGCAATAACAAAAACAGCAATAATTATGAACATTTTAAATAGTAACAATAAAAATCACTTTTATAGTGCATGAGAGGTACCAGGCATGCTTCTAAGTGCTTTACATACATCATTCATTTAATACTTATAATCACTCAATGAAATGAGTACTTTGCTATATAGAAAAGGAAACTGAGAGAAAAAAATTCAATAATTTGTCCCAGATTATATAGTGAGTGAGTGGTGGAGGAAGGACTGACATCCTAGAAATTTGGCTCTATAGTCCAAATCTTATTGGCTTTCTATTTCCTTTCTCAGTTCTTTTCTAAAATAGAAACTTTCCTTCCCTTCTGTACTTTAGCTAGGGGAGATTTTTAAAGTTTATATGTTTAAAAAAATGGTTGCTTCTCTCTCTCTCTCTTTCTCTCTCTCTGCTCTAGCTCTCTTTGCTTCCATCATATTCCATTTAGTTAAATTTTTAAATGTGATATAAACTCAAATATATTGTGAATGTTTTATTTATATAACTACAGTACTGTGAATTTCCCATGATATATGCAGATACAGTCAGGAGTACACTCTAATAGATATGGAAAAATATTTTATAATTCTATTGATGTTATCTTCAAAGCAAGATATCTAGGAACTTAAGAGAATTGAGTGTTCGGAGAATTCTACTAAGATACTCCAAAAAATATGGAACACTATTCATATCTTAACAAATATTAATTAAGCAATGTTTACTGTGAGATCTTGTGGTTAGAACTGGAGCTACCATAGCCAACAGCAGGAAATTCTTCCTCTTATGCAGCTCAAAGTCTTAAGGAAACAGACCCATAAACAGCTTAATAACAAATAGTGGGCTGAGGAAATTAAAGCAGGTAGAGGATACGGCTTGATGAAAATGGTTGTTATTTTATAAAGTGCATCAGAGAAGATTTACTGACATTTGAACAGACATAAGATTAACATGGGAAAGGGTCATCCTTGGGAAAACAATAAGAAACACCTAAAGTAGGAACAAGTTCAACATGTTTGAGAAAGAATGAGCACTAATGGGAATAGAGCAGAGTGCGCAAAGGCAAGAGCGGTTAGAGATGAAGTGGAAAAGTATGCAAGAAACTGACATCACAGAATCCTCAAGGCCAGTGGTATCCAGTAGAAATTTCTGCAATGATGGGAATGTCCTACATCTGAAATGACCAATGTATTAATAGTAATAACTAACCACATGCCCTCATATGACTACTAAATACGTGAAATGTGGTTAGTGTAACTGCGAAAATGAAATTTTAATTTCATTTAATTTTTTTAAATGTTACTGAATTTGGCCGGGTGCAGTGGCTCACACCTGCAATCCCAGCACTTTGGGAGCCTGAGGCATGCAGATCACTTGAGGTCAGGAGTTCTAGACCAGCCTGGCCAACATGATGAAACCCTGTCTCTACTGAAAAATACAAAAATTAGCCAGGCGTGGTGGTGTGTGCCTGTAGTCCCAGCTACTTGGGAGGCTGAGGTGGGAGAATCATGTGAACCCCGGAGGCAGAGTCTACAGTGAGCAGAGATTGCACCACTGCACTCCAGCCCAGGTGACAGAGTGAGACCCCATCTCCAAAAAATAAAAATAAATAAGTTACTGAATTTGTACTAACTTTAAATTCAAATAGACACATGTGGTTCATGGGTACTACAGTGGAGGGTGTAGCTCTAGCCATGGTCAGATGTTAAATCCTTGTGCACAGAGAGATCTTTAAAGAAGCTAGGTTAATAGATGTGCATATTTTGTTTCTTTTGTTTGGTCCAGTCTCTGAAATTCTTTAAGTAAATTATTGATTGTTATTAAACTTGAATTTTTATTTTGTGATATTTTACTTATATTCTACCACTAAACGGGCAAAAACCTTGTACTGAACAGATGTGAAGAAGATTTGAGGAAAGAAGATTGCTAAACATAATTTATGAGGAGTGCTTTTCATTTGGATACTTGGAGTGGATTCAGTAAAAGTTACACATAAGTCATTCATCTATTTTCTCTCTGGAAGCTTACGTCATAAATGACACGGTCTGTTTAATTTTTCATGTTGACTATAAAGCATGCTTAGGTTTCCCTTATTCCAGAAAGAAACTTTTCTTTGTTACATGAGAAACATCCTCCTTTGGAGGCTGTGCCTTTGCCTTTAACACTACTATCCCTCATTTCTGTCATCTACCTACATGACTACTTTTTTCCCTAATTTCAGTTTTACCATTATCTTAATGGATGTTAAAATCTAAAACCCAGCCTAAAACCTTCACAACTTCTAAGTATCTCCATAATTAAAAACCCAAGAATCCATTTGTTATTTTAAAAAGACAAAAAACACACCATTTTGTATCAGATGAAACAGAATTAATAGATCAGACAAAATAAGAATTACAAACCCGCAAGTAAGCATCCTCAAAATAATAAATTAAGATCATAAGAATACAAAGAAAGAGCAAATTGCTTGACAAAAGTAAAAATGGAGATAATAGGCATAGAAAGTATAAGATTCAAGGACAAAGGAAAACATTTATGTTTTCAGATATGTGAAAATAAAGGTTTACAAAAGAACAAAACTTTTTAACAACACTGAGTGCAAGAAGAAAATGGGATAATACTAGAAATATTAAAGGTAAAGAACTTTGAACCTACATATTTATAGCCAACAAAGTATCTTTTAAGTATGTGGATGAAATTAAATTCTTTTTGGATATAAAAACTCAGAAACTTTAAGGCAAAAATACCTTTTAAAAACAGTTTAAGGAGTACTCCAGTCAGAAGATAAATAAAACCATGAAACTGATACAAAACAAAAGAATGAGTAAAGAACAGTAAAATGTTTGTGATCTAAGTAACTCTAGATATATGTAGAGAGAGACATACATGCATAATAATTACATATGTATTTCTATAGATAAGTACATATATATACATGAATTCTATACATAGATAAATTCTATAAATATCAATTCAGAAAGGTGGGTGACAACAAGGAGATGAGACCATACTAAGGTAGATTTTTACTTAAGAGTATGTCATATATAATGTTAAACAAGGATATAGATGTAGAAAAAAACATAATGATGACTCTTAAAATATTAGAAGTAACAAACAGAAAAGAAGATAAAAACTGACCAATGGAAGATAGAAAAAAGAGGGCAAAGAAACGGAAAGCATAGTAACTTAAAACATAAGAAATTGTAACTGTTAAATCCTAATAGTAAAGTAAGTACAAGAATATAAATGAGTTAACATACTGATTGAGAAACTCTCTCTTGAATTGGATTTTTAAAAGGTTTTGTAATATTTTGTCTATAAGAGACACACTTAAAAGTAAACAACAGAAAAAGCTGAAACAAGGTTAAAAAAGGTATCATAAATATAACCAAAAGGAAATCCACAGTAGTGGTATTCATATTAAGCAATATAAAATTCAAGGTTAAAATCTAAAGGAAAAATAATACCAAGTGATCATGAACACGTATACACCTAAAAATATATACAACTGTCAGAATTCTGTGGAAAAGTACATCAACACTTGCAGTTGAATATTTTAACTCAGCACTCTCTAAATCTGATAGTTCAGCACATAAACCTAAAAATCTTAAAATCCATGATCTTACTCATCAAATGCAGCCTTTGTTTTAGATCCAGTCTGAACACTGGCAGATCACCTGAACAATTTTTATTTTATGACCCGTTATGCCTTTGCTCTGTTACCTTTCTGTCCAACTATCCCAAACATCCCAGATAGTCAATCTCTCCACCTTCTATTAACTCTGAATTCAAAATAGAATGGCTTCTGCTCACCATCCTACTGACATCCCTTTTGTTGTTATTTTTATTCACTCTTTGCCAAGTTCAACAGATATTGATCAGTTCTTATTTTACTAGACTCATCTGCTATATTTGGGTGTGTGAATCACTCCCTCCTTCTCTAAACTAATTCTTTCTTTGGCATCAATGACATTGCACTCTCCCAGTTATCTTTTTACTTTACTTTTATGGGCTTTCTCTTCTAACCATCCCTTAAATGTTGGTCATCTTCAAAAGAGTATCTTTAGCTATCACTCTCCTCACTGTATTCAGGTTCTCAAGGGGATTTATTTCTCATTCAAGATTTCAAAGACCATCCGTATGCTGACAACCTCAAATCTCTTCCTCCAGTCCAGCAGATTTGGATATCTAGCTGTCACCAACATCTCCACGTGATGATCTCACTGATACCACAGTTCAACATGTTTTAAGGGAGAGTCTCACTTTCTCACACCCACAATAGAAATAGACTCCCAGCTGTTCCCTATCCCTGACTCCAGACTTCTCCCTCTATATAGCTGACAAAGTGATCTAGAGTCAAATCTGATTATGTTACCCTAGGTCCCAAGTTTCAACCCTACAGTGACTTGATACTGTTTAACATGGAGTACTAGCCTCTCTGTAATTTGCTGATTACTTACTTCTTTGATGTCATCTTTTACCACCATCTGCCTTCTTTTCTATTCATTTCACACTGCTTCCCATCTCTATTCTGCGCTCATGCTATCCCATCTGGCTAAATGCCCTACTAGTCATTTTCCTCTAAGTCTTTTTATATAATATTATAATTATTTGTTAATTTTTTCTCTTGCCCTCAACCTGAAGCTCCTATATGGTATAGATTATATAGGATGTGCAGTTTGTTCCCTGAGCATGTGGCAATGACAGCTGTCTGAATGAAGAAATAAATGAAATCTTATTGACCGTTCTAAGTTCTTTTTTGAGAAATAGATTTTTTATTTTCATTTGTCCTTTGAACCTCTTCTCCTGGTTGTCCTAAGTTAACTCATCATCACTTTCATGCCAAACTCTACACTCCTTCTAACTACCATACTTCTCTTAACAGTCCCTTCATCTATGTATGTTATTCATCCTGTAAAGGCTCAAAAATCTCAAAATTGCACCAAACTCATCTTCCACCTTCACTTTCGTATACAATATGACACTGAGACGCATCAACATTACCCCTGAGTTCATTTCTTTTATTCTCTCTACCACCAATTTTCCTGATTCAGGCTATAACTAAATTGCACTGTAATATTCTGTCATCTGTTCATGTAGCATGAAACTTAACCTCAATTCTTTCCCTCTCAACCGCCATTTAAATGTTTCTGAAGCATTGCTTTGATTATGATACTTTTGTACTCAAAAACTTGTTCCCACAGCAGATCCATTGAGAGTTGTGTAGTAAATATCAATTTTCTTCTTCTTTCTTACTAATGTTTTTGATGAAACAATATGCTCAGAAGAAAAATGCATTTTTCTCAGCTTCACATCAGCTAAATGTGGCCATGTGACACAGTTTTGACTAAGTCATAAGCATAAGTCTCTTGTGAATTCCTGCAAAATTTTTCCTTTCCTCATGGAGGCATTCTCCTAGCTTCTCTCTCTACTGTCCATCTGGTTTGAGGGCCTGAGAGATGAAGCAGCCCCCTTGTGATCACATGAGGCCCATTAAGATAAAAGTCACATAGTGAAGAAGAAAGAGGAAGAACTGATCTATGTTGACATCACAGAGAACTACAACAGCCTCTGACTACCTACTTCTGGCCTACTTTTCATGGGAGTTGCCCTGTTTTAAAAATGGAGATAATAGGGGCTGGGCATGGTGGCTCATCCCTGCAATCCCAGCACTTTGGGAGGCCAAGGCAGGTGAATCACTTGAGGTCAGGAGTTCAAGACCACCCTGGCCAATACGGCGAAACTCCGTCTCTACTAAAAATACAAAAATTAGCTGGGCGTGGTGGCTTGTGCCTGTAGTCCCAGCTACCTGGGAGGCTGAGGCACGACAATCTCTTGAACCCAGGTGGTGGAAGTTACAGTGAGCCAAGATTGTGCCACTGCACTCCAGCCTGGGCAACAGAGGGAGACTTGTCGCCAAACAAAAACAAAACAAAACAAAAAAAACAAAAAAAAACAAAAACAAAAAAAGGAGATAATAGTAAACCATAGTGCTGTTTAAAAAATTAATTTAAAATACCACCTGACATAAAGACTAAATGAATACTCTCTTATTTTTGTTGTTAATATCACTGTTAATATTCTATGTTGTTAATAATTATAAGACATAATTGCATAAGATTATATGAGATAATATAAGATTATTATGGGAGAAAAATTTGTAACTCTCATTTAGTTAAATCATGGGAAGTTATTTTCTCTTGCATGTTCCTAATGCAGATCTAATTGATACAGTCCCCCACTACCTTGGAATCATGTTCTAAGTTCCCAGATCTGCATTTAAGTCCTGTAGCCCCACCCTAATCCTCCTTTCTAACCTCAGTCACTTATTTGTACCAAATTGTATCACTCTCAAACCCACTTATGCTTGTCTACTCTGCCCTTAGCTTACAGCATTCTCTACTCAAAAAAATTATCTTCCGTCATCTTTGCTGTTGATGTATATGTCTTTCAACACCCAACTCAAGTATTACCACTTCCAGAATTTCCTGAGACCTCACATTGAAAAAATTTATCTTCTGAGTTTCTAGAATACCTTGATTTCACTTTTCTAATGGTTCTTCTCAAATTATACCACATTACTTAAAGTATCACTGTACTAATAACAGCAAGTAGAGAAATATTATTGAAATAAGGGTACTCATTATTAACTTATAAATTTGCCAAAAATATGCACTGATTATTAATTGGCAGAAATTCATCTTAGGAGCTAGATATTAAAATGTGAATAAGGTATTGTATTTTCATCAAGCAATTAACAGACTAAAAGATAAGAAAAAGAAAAAAGGCATAATTAAAATGTAGCATGTGCTGTGAGAATGCCATGAAAAGTGCAATTGTTATCCATATGATATCAGCGTTGCTATGAAAACTCAGATAACAGGCGCTAAGCCCAGACAGAGCATCACCAGGGAAAGCACCTTAGACAAGAAACCTGAAATGAATTTTGAAGGGTGAGCTAGAATTATCCAGACAAACGGTCATGATCAAATAAGCAGGAGGTAAAGAAAAGGTGTAAGAAGGAGAGCCCCGCCACCATGAGAACCAGTGGTAAACCCATAGAGCTGAAACATGAAGCTCTATGGGGATACTGAAGGATAAGTCTGAGCCAGGTGCAAGGGTTAAGTGCAGAAGGGTCCATGTGCTATGGGTAGAAGTTTGAATTGTATCTCAGAAAGACCCATGTTACAAAATGCTTCTTTTGATTTTACATTTCATCTTAAAGATTTTCAGTCTTCAAGTTACTCCTAATTCCAATTACCAAATCCTGAATCTAAAGCTGTTCTCAGACTTATCCTGTGGTAGCTATGATTTCTGGGGTCTTCTTTGAATTGATGAAATGCTCCCTGATGTCACAGGTGGAAAAGGCTTGGGAGAAAAAAAAAACAAAAAAAAACAAAAGATGGCAACAGACACCATCTCCTGGGCTCCCACTCTGCCCTTGTGTTAAAAATTTAAAATTCAAGCATCAAAACAACTCTACAATGTGTACACACATGGGTGAGAGAAATTAAGGACTGAAACCACACAGCTATACTATACTGACTATATCCAAAGACTATACACTTTCTGCCTTGAGTCAGACTCCAAGAACCAGTAAAAGTATTAGACTATTGCGACAACACAGGGTATATCCTAGCTATCAAAGATAGTAAGTCTGTGAATGATGGCAGTATGTGAAAATGTATAAACATACCAAATTCAAAGAGACCACACACTGATTAAAACTATTACAGACTCAGTAAAACTGTGATTAAATGGACATTAATGATGGTTGGGAGATACTTTTGTATACATAATTTAAAATATGATGGTTTAAAAAAATAGAAAAAAATTGTCTATAGCCATTGTTCGTTCACATTGCCCCAAGGCCAGAGCAATTCTTGGGACTTTCAACCCTTCTGAGCCATGAGATTATTTGATTGAGAGCACCCAAAGACCACTAAAAACATGTGAATTTTCTTTATATATACAAACTTAGGATAAAAGCAAAGGTAAGATGTGTGCTTAAAGAATAAAAAAAGTAAATAAAAGGCAGAAAGCTGATCTATGTTGCTTTTCCATTCTCATTTTTTAGAGTACATATTTTATAAAATATATAATAAAATCATTTCTAGATTTTACCTAGAATTAACTGGCATATGCATATCCTTCAAGATTTGTTTTTCTCTTTAGAAATCAACCTTTCACACAAGAAAATGAACTTTGGGAGAAGTAGTTGTAGGATAAACTGTACTGTGTGTAGATCTAACATTTACTGAACAGATTATTTCATCTGATATATATTTTTACAATCTTCATAGACTGAATAGAGAAACTGATTCTACATTCATTTTTTAGGAAAGTTTTTTATATATCCACTACTGTAAAGTTTGAGTAAATATACATGTAGGTATTTACATTCGGTTTTAGATTTCAAAAAGTCCCTTTTTTTATTGTTTTATTTTTTATTAACAATCTGCCACATCCTTATTTTTTTCTCTTTTCCAGGTTAACATAAAATTTGTTTAAAAAAATTCTCTATCATTTGGAATTTAAATAATGGGATTCTGAGCATTATCCTTTTGTGCCTGGAGGCTACAGGCTTAATAGATGGTAAGCATTGACCTGAAATCGGCAATAAACACCAGGAATGTAGATTGGGAGATTAAACCTGGGAGATCATAGGACCATAGCTTTATCAACAAATCTAATGGAAAAAAAGAAAAGAAAGCTCAGTTATTAATGTAGTTTTTTATACTGAAACATTAAAGGAAGTCTTTTTTCTAGTATCAGTGTTTCCCAGTTCTATTCATACTTCAACATTTTCTGAAGGTTCATTACAAGCAAGTCACAATAAATATAAACTCCATGAAGCTAAATACTCATTTATTTTGTATGATCAGCACCTCTAAATTTCGGTTATTTAGTAAATAGTAGCCAACTATTTATTAAAAATAGAATTGAATGTATAGAAAAGCAAAAGTTAAAAGATCCAGATATAATTTCATATAAGTGCAATAAAATTATTAGTCTTATTCTAATAGTCAATTTCTACAGCAAAAATTTACTGCTATTTAAGTAATTTCTGTCTGTTTTATGTTAATGGATATTTAAGACAATTTAACTACTGATAAATATTTCAACTAAATTTATCAGAAAACATTTACAATTAGGGCTAAATCTTCTAAACACATACCACTATTAGTGTCTATTTTAATTCACATTAATACATATTTGAAGTGCATATTAAACAAGAATTTTTATAATTTATTATGCATAGGAATTTATATGCATATAGTTAATAAATAGAGAATAATTAATTAAAAGCACATTTCTTTTGTTACATTTGCAATCAGAATGTTTACTGTAAAATGTTGACTTCAATTACTTTAATAGAGGTTTTTTCAAAAACTGATGATATATTTTTATAACCAGCCATTAGACATACATGCCATTGTGCATTGTCATCTTCTTTCCCAATAGCTAGTAACTTGGTGAGTGGGTTTTCTGTGAGGCCAGCATCACTGTCCAGAGTTGTGTGTGCATGCTGCACAAGAGGCCCACCACTTGGCACTGCAGGTTGTGACCATTTAAGAGTTGGATTGATGATCTGATGATCAAGGGTCATGAAAGAGTTTACTTTCTGTCTCTGGGCTTTCTGTAGCTGAGGCCTTGCAGAACTTTCCAGGTGTGCTGGGACCTACAAGATCAAAATTAAACAAATACAATGTGCAGCATCAGCTGTGAAATTAGAGTTCTCCTTTCCACAATTGCACTAGGATAATAAACACACTACACTATAGCATCTAGTTTCTCTCCAATCTATCGTCCATACTTCTGTCATAAGTTACATACAATTTTAATGGGTTATGATTATTAAGAAGTAATTTAAACTTTAATAAAATATTTTAAATGCTAACCAGTTTTTTTAAATGAGTAGCCCTAAAAATTAGGAATAAATATAAAAACCACAATATTTTTTGAGGGTCTAAAAAATGAGGGCCTAAAATAACGTAAGGAAAATACAGATGATTCACTATTACAAGTAATTTGTATATAACATGTATTACTTGGATTCCTTTATATTACACATAAATATTCTATGGAATATGATCAAAACTTTGTTCTTAAGAAAACTAAAAATTATAAGAGAGCAGGAACTAGAAATATATGTACAAAATATTAAGTGTGAAACTGTATGGGTAGTGAAAATCTAGATGATTTTTTTCTACTTTTCTGTACTTCCCTATTTCTATCCTGAGCCCAGTTTTATTTTTTTAATCTTATTTTTAAACCCTTTCATATTTTCACCTTATAAAAATGAGAAAGTGGTATAGTCATTATTATGACTTGACAGGAGCATTCAGAAAAAAATCTAACGATTGTCATGTGTCAGCTAAACAACTGTCCAGTCTGCCAAAATCCCTTTTTCAAAATATACCACATACTTTCAAAATTTTACACCTTCAGTCTAGTTATCATAGTTAATATTGTACTATCATTTGTGTAAGGACAACTTTAAGCATTTCAAATCTGCCCTTTAAAAGCCTGTGAACGTAGTTTTGCCTGGCAGTAGTCTTTATATTTACTGTGCTATTCTGTGGCTTCTAATACATTTTTCTCAAGTGGCCTATATATAAACCGATTTAATATTTCCCTCATGTTAAACAATAGTAAAGATTGCTGTACAGTGCTTATTTTTCCTTTTATTTCAGTTACACAAACTACTCCTTAAATCCCTTAACATGCATTAGCCCAGATAAATAGCCTCTACAAAGTATTTTGCATTTAAATTAGCTGGTTTGGGGTACAATATTGTAGTAGTTACTTTAGTTTAATTCTGTTATGCTGACATTTTTAGCATTATTTTAATTGTACTAGCATAAAATAATTTTTCAGTCATATAAAAAAGATTAAGATTGGTAATAAAGATTACACATATTACTAATTATATTGCTATGAGCTTTAAAGTTGTAAAATAACATTTCATTAAAATGCCAGTGGTAATTTTTTTAGGGTAGCTATTTATATTATCCTACTGTTCTAAATTAATTCTTTTTAATCTGTATACTTTTATGAAATATACATTATGAAGAACACTTTCAGTTTCACAAATCTGAATGATCTTTCACACTATGCAACTGAATGCCAAAGAACATTGTATACCTACAATTGGGAAATAGCTCTTGTTCTAAGAAGAATATGTTGAATCAGAATTTACAACATGCATTAACTAATTCATTTTTTACTTTTCATCCATTCATTCCAAAAGCCTCATTGAAGCACTTACTCTTGTGTTATATCAAGAATACAAAAGAAGTCACAGATGTGATCCCAAGGTTATAGGAGTTTACAATCTATTGGGAAGTGTTAATATCAACTATAGCAACAACAACAATGATAATAATATTAAGCAACAGATACTAGGCACTATGCTAAACAATTTACATATATTATCTTACTCCATTCTTGTTTTAACCTTAGGAGATAGGTACCATTAGTTAGTATCCCTATTGCACTATATAGATGAAGCCACTAAAATTTAGAGAGTTTAAATGGCATACCTATTACCATTCAGCTAGTGAGAGAAAGAAGTGGAATACAGAGCCTGTCTTCCTCAGCAGTACAATATCGGTTCCTGAGCAAATAACTGAAATGTTCACAATGCAAAGCAAAAGCTCCATAACACATGCAATGAAATTAAAAAGAAGTGGTTTTAAAAAAACATATTGAAAGAGAAAGTGATTTTAAGTCAGCTGTTGGAAGGAGAGATAGTACTACACAGCAGGCAAAGGAAAGAACATCTCAAATATTCTCAGCAAACTATTGCAAGGACAAAAAAATAGACACCACATGTTCTCACTCATAGGTGGGAACTGAACAATGAGAACACTTGGACACACAAGTGTGTGATGAAGGGGAACATCACACACCAGGGCCTGTTGTGGGGTGGGGGGAGGGGGGAGGGATAGCATTAGGAGAAATACCTAATGTAAATGACGAGTTAATGGGTGCAGCACACCAACATGGCACATGTATACATATGTAACAAACCTGCACGTTGTGCACATGTACCCTAGAACTTAAAGTATAATAAGTATATATAAAAAAACATAAAAAGAAAATCTCAAATAGAAAAGATCCAGATGAAACAAGACAAGAAGTTGTGAGACAGTCACAAATGTTACTCATGCAAAAGAAGTCACAGATACTTTTCTCAAAGCAAGAATACCATCTCCTCTTCAGGCCACTCTATACAGAGTCAGAATAAAATATAGTATGGGACTAACTCTAATTCTCCCGAAATTATTGATTATCTGTGAGGAATTACAAAAGTTTAGCAGGCAAGAGTGAGGACTGTGTTGGAAGCTATCTGTACAACATCTGTAAACTAAGCAGAAGAGTATAAAAACTTGGTGTAGCATGGAAAGATTCAATAAAATGTGATTATACTGTTCCCTAGAAAAAAAATCTCTGACTTTACTAACCATGAACTAATATCAGAACAACGGGATAACTCACTGTAAAACACCAGTTTAACTATGTACCACTAATTTTAAAATACCTTAAAAATTGCCTAGGTTATAAAGACATAAAATTATCTTGTGAATTTCTCTAACTGGATGTGCCAATATTTTGTGGGATAAAGTAAATGAAATTATAGGTTGCCATTGTTCATTTGTTCACTTATTCAAGACACAGTGTTTGAGTATCAAGCATGTGTGGGCACTAAGTGGTACACTGAAGGTAGAAGGCAGATTAACACAGTGTCTGCCCTCAAATAGTATACAGCATAGTCACAATCTAGACAGGGTAGTAAAAAATGAGTTCTTCATGGGCAAGGACTGTATTTATCTTGCTGGCTGCTCAACTGCTATGCTTCTTGTACATAGCCCAGAGAATGACAGACAGCAGGCACACAAAAATGTGTTTATATGTGCTCATATAAACACATATAAAATGTGTTTTATATATATATAAACATATAAACACATATAAAAATGAAAGAATGAGTCATTAGAGTAAATCTTGGGAATCCACTAGAAGACCATATAAACCATAATCAGGATATCAAAGTATTTGCTAGGAGGTCAGAGCAGCTACAGATTGTGATTTGTTTCATTGAATTCTCAAAGAGATAAGACCATCAAAATGAAGAGAAATTTTTTGGTTTTTAAAACAATAAGTAAATCATATCTTTAGAACTCAAAATTATGTTTCAATATTATCCTAACATGCTGCTATTGCAAATTAACCTATATAGAGAATATTTTCCTTTACCCAAAACCTTCCCACCACATTACTAACAGCTTATTTATAAGTTTCTTTTACATCCAGTACATCCTGCCTATCAAAAAAAATTACAAGACATACTAAAAGGCTAAAAAACATGGTTTGAAGAAGCAGAATAAGCATTATAACCAGACTCAGATATGGCATGGAAGTTAAAATTATCAGACCAGGATGAATTTTTTAAAAACTATGATTAATATGCTAATAGATAAAGTAGCCATCATGCAAGAGCAGATGGGCAATGCAAACAGAGTGATAGAAATTCCAAGAAAAAAAACAAAAAGGAATACAAAAATCAAAAACACTGTAGAGAAATGAAGAATGCTTTTGATGAGTTTATTAATACACTGAAGATGACTGAGAAAAGGATCTCTGAGATTAAGGATTTCACAACAAGAAACTACAGAACTGAAAAGCAAAAAGAAAAAGCTTAAAAACAAAAAAAGAAACAAAAAAGAATATCTAAGAACTGTGGGACAATGACAAAAGATGTAACATGTGCACAGTGGGAAAACCCAAGGGAAGAGAAAGGGAGAAAGAAACAGAAACAATATTTAAAGCAATAATGACTGAGAATTTCTTCAATTAATATAATGTACCAAACCACAGATCCAGGAAGCTCAGAGAACACCAAGCAGAACAAATGCCAAATGAAAACAAAACAAGAACAAAAAACAATCTATACCTGGGCATAATATATTTGAAGTACAGAAAATCAAAGATAAAGAAAAAAACTCTGGAAAAAAAATCTAGAAGAAAAAGCACCCTACCCATACAGAAGCAAAGATAAAAATTACATCTGACTCTTCCTTACAAACCATGCAAGCAAGAAGAGAGGAATTAAATACTTAAGGGATTGAGGGGGAAAAAACCCACCAACCTAGAATTCTGTAGGTTGTGAAATTTCCCTTAAAAGGTAAAGGAGAAATAAAGACTTTTGTAGACAAGCAAATATTGAGGAAATTTGTTTTCAGTAGCCCTGCCTTACAAGAAATGCTTTTAAAAATTCCTAGGAGGGAAAGAAAATAATGTAGGTCAAAAAGTCAGACCTACATAGAGAGACAAAGAGCATCAGAAACAGAATAAATTAAGGTAAAATAAAATTGCTTATTTTCTTATTCTTCATTGATCTACATTAATGTATTTAAAATAATAAGGCAATCATGGGAGGAGGTTCCAAGATGGCCAAATAGGAGCAGCTCCAGTCTACAACTCCCAGCGTGAGTGATGCAGAAGACAGGTGATTTCTGCATTTCCAACTGAGGTACCACGTTCATCTCACTGGGGCTTGTCAGACAGTGGGTGCAGCCCACGGAGTGTGAGCCAAAGAAGGGCGGGGCATCGCCTCACCCGGGAAGCATAAGGGGTCGGGGAATTCTCTTTCCTAGCCAAGGGAAGCCATGACAGACAGTACCTGGAAAATCAGGACACTACCACCCTAATACTGCGCTTTTCCAGAGGAGATTATATCCCATGCCTGGCTCAGAGGGTCCCATGCCCACGGAGCCTTGCTCACTGCTAGCACAGCAGTCTGAGATTGAACTGCAAGGCGGCAGCGAGGCTTGGGGAGGGCCGTCCACCATTACTGAGGCTTGACTAGGTAGTAAACAAAGCGGCCGGGAAGCTTGAACTTGATGGAGTGCACCACAGCTCAAGGAGGCCTGCCTGCCTCTGTAGACTCCACCTCTAGGGGCAGGGCATAACTGAACAAAAGGCAGCAGAAATGTCTGCAGACTTAAACGTCACTGTCTGACAGCTTTGAAGAGAGTAGTGGTTCTCCCAGCACGGAGTCTGAGATCTGAGAATGGACAGACTGCCTCTTCAAGTGGGTCCCTGACCCCCAAATAACCTAACTGGCAGGTACCTCCTAGTAGGGGCTGACTGACATCTCATACAGCCAGGTGCCCCTCTGAGATAAAGCTTCCAGAGGAAGGATCAGGCAGCAAAATTTGCCATTCTGCAATATTTGCTGTTCTGCAGCCTCTGCTGGTGATACCAAGGAAAACGGTGTCTGGAGTGGACCTCCAGCAAACTCCAACAGACCTGCAGCTGAGGGTTCTGACTATTAGAAGGAAAACTAACAAAGAGAAAGGACATCCACACCAAAACCCCATCTGTATGCCACCATCATCAAAGACAAAAGGTAGATGAATCCACAAAGATCGGGAGAAACCAAAGCAGAAAAGCTGAAAATTCTAAAATCAGAGCGCTTCTTCTCCACCAAAGGAGCGCGGCTCCTCACCAGCAACGGAACAAACCTGGATGGAGAATGACTTTGAGGAGTTGAGAGAAGAAGGCTTCAGAAGATCGGTAATAACAAACTTCCCTGAGCTAAAGGAGGATGTTCGAACTCATCACAAAATAGCTAAAAACCTTGAAAAGAGATTAGACGAATGGCTAGCTAGAATGAACAGCATAGAGAAGACCTTGAATGACCTGATGGAGCTGAAAACCATGGCACGAGAATTACGTGATGAATGCACAAGCTTCAGTAGCTGATTTGATCAAGTGGAAGAAAGGGTATCAGTGATTGAAGATCAAAGGAATGAAATGAAATGAGAAGAGAAGTTTAGAAAAAAGAGTAAAAAGAAATGAACAAAGCCATCAAGAAATATGGGACTATGTAAAAAGACCAAATCTACATCTGATTGGTGTACCTGAAAGTGACGGGGAGAATGGAACCAAGTTGGAAAACACTCTTCAGGATATCATCCAGGAGAACTTCCCCAATCTAGCAAGGCAGGCCAACATTCAAATTCAGGAAATGCAGAGAACGCCACAAAGATACTCCTCGAGAAGAGCAACTCTAAGACACATAATTGTGAGATTCGCCAAAGTTGAAATGAAGGAAAAAATGTTAAAGGGAGCCAGAGAGAAAGGTCAGGTTACCCACAAAGGGAAGCCCATCAGACTAACAGCTGATCTCTCCACAGAAACTCTACAAGCTAGAAGAGAGGGGGGCCAGTACTCAAAATTCATAAAGAAAAGAATTTTCAACCCAGAATTTCATATCCAGCCAAACTAAGCTTCATAAAGGAGAAATAAAATCCTTTACAGACAAGCAAATGCTGAAGATTTTGTCACCACCAGGTCTGCTTTACAAGAGCTCCTGAAGGAAGCACTAAACATGGAAAGGAACAACTAGTACAAGCCACTGCAAGAACATGCCAAATTGTAAAGACCATCGATGCTAGGAAGAAACTGCATCAACTAACGAGCAAAATAACCAGCTAACATCATAATGACAGGATCAAATTCACACATAACAATATTAACCTTAAATGTAAATGGGCTAAATGCTCCCATTAAAAGACACAGACTGGCAAATTGGATAAAGAGTCAAGAGCCATCAGTGTGCTGTATTCAGGAGACCCATCTCATGTGTAGAGACACACATAGGCTCAAAATAAAGGAATGGAGGAAGATCTACCAAGCAAATGGAAAACAAAAAAAAGGAGGGGTTGCAATCCTAGTCTCTGATAAACAGACTTTAAACCAACAAAGATCAAAAGAGACAAAGAAGGCCATTACATAATGGTAAAGGGATCAATTTAACAAGAAGAGCTAACTAACCTAAATATATATGCACCCAATACAAGAGCACCCAGATTCATAAAGCAAAGAGACTTAGACTCCCACACAATAATAATGGGAGACTTTAACACCCCACTGTCAACATTAGACAGATCAACAAGACAGAAAGTTAACAAGGATATCCAGGAATTGAACTCAGCTCTGCATCAAGTGGACCTAACAGATATCTACAGAACTCTCCACCTTAAATCAACAGAATATACATTCTTCTCAGCACCACATTGCCCTTATTCCAAAATTGACCACACATTAGAAGTAAAGCACTCCTCAGCAAATGTAAAAGAACAGAAAATATAACAAACTGTCTCTCAGACCACAGTGCAATCAAACTAGAACTCAAGATTAAGAAACTCACTCAAAACCACACAACTACATGGAAACTGAACAACCTGCTCCTGAATGACTACTGGGTACACGACGAAATGAAGGCAGAAATAAAGATGTTCTTTGAAACCAATGAGAACAAAGACACAACATACCAGAATCTCTGGGACACATTTAAAGCAGTGTGTAGAGGGAAATTTATAGCACTAAATGCCCACAAGAGAGAGCAGGAAAGATCTAAAATTGACACGCTAACATCACAATTAAAAGAACTAGAGAAGCAAGAGAAAACACATTCAAAAGCTAGCAGAAGGCAAGAAATAACTAAGATCAGAGCAGAACTGAAGGAAATAGAGACACCAAAAGCCCTTCAAAAAATCAATGAATCCAGGAGCTGGTGTTTCGAAAAGATCAACAAAATTGATAGACCGCTAGCAAGACTGTTACAGAAGAAAAGACAGAAGAATCAAATAGATGCAATAAAAAATAATAAAGGGGGTGGCACCACTGATCCCACAGAAATACAAACTACCATCAGAGAATACTATAAAAACTATGCAAATAAACTAGAAAATCTAGAAGAAATGGATAAATTCCTGGATACATACAACCTCCCAAGACTAAACCAGGAAGAAGTTGAATCCCTGAATAGGCCAATAACAGGCTCTGAAATTGAGGCAATAATTAATAGCCTACCAACCAAAAAAAGTCCAGGACCAGATGGATTCACAGCCGAATTCTACCAGAGGTACAAAGAGGAGCTGGTACCATTCCTTCTGAAACTATTCCAATCAATAGAAAAAGAGGGAATCCTCTCTAACTCATTTTATGAGGCCAGCATCATCCTGATACCAAAGCCTGGCAGAGATACAACAAAAAAAGAGAATTTTAGATCAATATCCCTGATTAACATTGATGCAAAAATCCTCAGTAAAATACTGGCAAACCGAATCCAGCAGCACATTAAAAAGCTTATCCACCACGATCAAGTGGGCTTCAACCCTGGGATGCAAGGCTGGTTCAACATACGCAAAAATCAATAAACGTAATTCATCATATAAACAGAACCAAAGACAAAAACCACATGATTATCTCAACAGATGCAGAAAAGGCCTTTCACAAAATTCAATAGCCCTTCATGCTAAAAACTCTCAATAAACTAGGTATTGATGGGACGTATCTCAAAATAATAAGAGCTATTTATGACAAACCCACAGCCAATATCATACTGAATGGGAAAAAACTAGAAGCATTCCCTTTGAAAACTGGCACAAGACAGAGATGCCCTCTATCACCACTCCTATTCAACATAGTGTTGGAAGTTCTGGCCAGGACAAACAGGCAGGAGAAAGAAATAAAGGGTATTCAATTAGGAAAAGAGGAAGTCAAATTGTCCCTGTTTGCAGATGACATGATTGTATATTTAGAAAACCCCATCATCTCAGCCCAAAATCTCCTTAAGCTGATAAGCAACTTCAGCAAAGTCTCAGGATATAAAATCAATGTACAAAAATCACAAGCATTCTTATAAACCAATAACAGACAAACAGAGAGCCAAACCATGAGTGAACTCCCATTCACAATTGCTTCAAAGAGAATAAAATACCTAGGAATCCAACTTACAAGTGTTGCGAAGGACCTCTTCAAGGAGAACTACAAACCACTGCTCCATGAAATAAAAGAGGACACAAACAAATGGAAGAATTCCATGCTCGTGGATAGGAAGAATCAATATCGTGAAAATGGCCATACTGCCCAAGGTAATTTATAGATTCAATACCATCCCCATCAAGCTACCAATGATTTTCTTCACAGAATTGCAAAAAACTACTTTAAAATTCATATGGAACCAGAAAAGAGCCCACACTGCCAAGAAAATCCTAAGCCAAAAGAACAAAGCTGGAGGCATTACGCTATCTGACTTCAAACTATACTACAAGGCTACAGTAACCAAAACAGCATGGTACTGGTACCAAAACAGAGATATAGACCTATGGAAGAGAACAGAGCCCTCAGAAATAATACCACACATCTACAACCATCTGATCTTTGACAAAACTGACAAAAACCAGAAATGGGGGAAGGATTCCCTATTTAATAAATGGTGCTGGGAAACCTGGCTAGCCATATGTAGAAAGCTGAAACTGGATCCCTTCCTTACACCTTATACAAAAATTAATTCAAGATGGATTAAAGACTTAAATGTTAGACCTAAAACCATAAAAACCCTAGAAGAAAACCTAGGCAATACCATTCAGGACATAGGCATGGGCAAGGACTTCATGACTAAAACACCAAAAGCAATGGCAACAAAAGCCAAAATTGACAAATGGGATCTAATTAAACTAAAGAGCTTCCGCACAGCAATGGAAACTACCATCAGAGTGAACAGGCAACCTACAGAATGGGAGAAAATTTTTACAACCTATCCCTCTGACAAAGGGCTAATATCTAGAATCTACAAAGAACTCACACAAATTTACAAGAAAAAATCAAACAACCCCATCAAAAAGTGGGCAAAGGATATGAACAGACACTTCTCAAAACAAGACATTTATGCAGCCAACAGCAGACTCATCATCACTGGCCATCAGAGAAATGCAAATCAAAACCATAATGAGATACCATCTCACACCAGTTAGAATGGCAATCATTTAAAAAGTCAGGAAACGACAGGTGCTGGAGAGGATGTGGAGAAATAGGAACACTTTTACACTGTTGGTGGGACTGTAAACTAGTTCAACCATTGTGGAAGACAGGGTGGTGATTCCTCAAGGATCTAGAACTAGAAATACCATTTGACCCAGCCATCCCATTGCTGGGTATATACCCAAAGGATTATAAATCATGCCGCTATAAAGACACATGCACACGTATGTTTATTGCGGCACTATTCACAATAGCAAAGACCTGGAACCAACCCAAATGTCCATCAATGATAGACTGGATTAAGAAAATGTGGCACATATCCACCATGGAATATTATGCAGCCATAAAAAAGGATGAGTTCATGTCCTTTGTAGGGACATGGATGAAGCTGGAAACCATCATTCTGAGCAAACTATTTCAAGGACAGAAAACCAAACACCACATGTTCTCACTCATAAGTGGGAATTGAACAATGAGAACACTTGGACACAGGGTGGGGAACATCACACACTGGGGCCTGTCATGGGGTGGGGAGGGGGGAGGGATAGCATTAGGAGATATACCTAATGTAAATGATGAGTTAATGGGTGCCGCACACCAACATGGCACATGTATACATATGTAACAAACCTGCACATTGTGCACATGTACCCTAGAACTTAAAGTATATTAAAAAAAACAAAAATAAAATAATAAGGCATTTGACTATGTATGCATATATATATACACACATATATATATGCTTACGTATGCTTATATAATAATTAAAATTAATGACAGCAATTATACAAGTGGCAAGAGGGAGAAATTAGGAATATTATTTGGTTGTTACAAGATATTTCCCAGAGGAGATGGGGAAGATGGCCGAATAGAAACCTCCAGCAATCATCCTCCATGCAGGAACAACAAATTGAACAACTAGCCACACATAAAAACACCTTCATAATAACCAAAAATCAGGTGAGCAATCACAGTATCTTGTTTTAACTTCATATCACTGAGAGAGACACTGGAGAAGGTAGGAAAGACAGTCTTGAATTGCCAACATCTTCCCTCCCCCAACCCTGACACGGCTCGGAGAGAGTATCTGTGCTCTTGGGGGAGAAAGAGTGCAGCGACTGTGGAACTTTGCTTTGGAACTCAGTGCTGTCCTGACACAGTGGAAAGCAACATAGGGCAGAACACAGCTGGCACCCGCAGAGGGAGCATTTAGACCAGCCCTACCCGGAGGGGAATTGTCCATTCCAGTGGTCAGAAGTTTAGTTCTTGCAAGTCTCACCACCATGGGTAAAGCTCTCTGGGTTTCTGAATAAACTTGAAAGGCAGTTTAGGCCACAAAATCTGCAATTCCCAAGCAAGTCTTGGTGCTGTGCTTAGCTTACAGCCAGTGGACTTGGGGAACGTAAGACCTAGTGAGATATCAGCTGGGGTGGCAAAGGGAGTGCTTGTGCCACCTATCCCCCAACCTAAGGCAGCACAGCTCATAGCACCAGGAAAGACTCTTTCCTTATGCTTGAGGAGGGGAAGGGAAAGAATAAGGAAGACTTTGTCTTGCAACATGGGTACCAGCTCAGCCACAATAGGATAAGAACAAGGCAGAGTCTCGAGGCCCTCATTGCAGAGCCTAGCTCATGGCCATTTCTAGATACATCCTGGGCCAGAAGGGAACCTACTTCATAGCAGGGAAGGATCCAGTCATGGCAGGATCTTTAAAATGCTAATTAGACCCTGGGCCCTGAATAATCAGCAGTACTACCCAGGCAGTACTTGTGATGGGCCTTGAGTGAGACTCAGAGACATGCTGGCTTAGATGTGATCCAACGTATTCCCAGCTATGGTGGGTTTGGGGAGAGACTCCTTCTGCTTGAGAAAAGGAGAGGGAAGAGTAAAGAAGACTTTGTCTTGCATCTTAAGTAAAAGCTAGCCACACTGGGGTAGAGCACCCAGTGAGCTCTTAGGGCCCTCAATTCCAGAACTTGGCTATCAGACAGCATTGCTGGACATTCTCTTGGCCAGAGGGAAGCCCACTGCACTAAAGGGAGAGTCCTGGAGCTGGCAGCATTCACCAAAAGCTGACTGAAGAGACCTTGGGTCTTGAGTGAACATTGGGAGTAACCAACCAGATAGTACTCACCACAGGCCTGGGGCAGTAATAGCTTTGGGAGAGTCCGTAGCTTGTGAAAAGGAAAAGAAAGAGTGGGAAGGACTTTGTCTTGTGGATTGGGTGCCAGCTCAGCTGCAGTAGAAAAGAGAACCAGGTAGATTCCTAAGGTTTTTAAATACAGGCCCTGGCTCCCAGCTGGTATCTCTGGACTAGCATGGGGAGGGGGATCTCATCACCCTGAGGGTGAGGACACAAGTCTGGCTGACTTTACTACCTGCTGATTGTAGGGCATTAGGCCCTTGAGAGAAACATAAACAGTAATCAAGCAATGGTTACCACGGGCCTTGGGCAAAACCCAGTGCTGTGCTGGCTTCAGTTCTGACACAGCATAGTCCCATTGGAGGTGGCCAGAGGGGTGCTTGTGTCACCCCTCCCCAAGATCCAGGTAGCTCAGCACACAGAGAAAGACTCCATTTGATTGAGAGAAGGTAAGGGAAAAGAACAAGAGTCCGTGCCAGACAACACAGAGAATTCTTCTGGATCTTATCTAAGACCGCCAAGGTGGTACATGTATGAGTCTGCAAGAGCCACAGCACTACTAATCTTTAGCTGCCTCCTAATGCAGATACCACTGCAGTGACCAAGAACTTAGATTACAACATCCAAGTCCCTTTAAATACCTGGAATGCCTTCCCAAGACGGATGGGTACAAACCAGCCCGGACTGAAAAGAATAAAATGAATACCTAACTCTTCACTGCCCAGACACCAACAAACATCCACAAGCATAAAAACCTTACAGGAAAATATGACCTCACCAAATAAACTAAACAAGTCACCAGGAACAAATCTCAGAGAAACAGAGATATATGACCTTTCAGGCAAAGAATTCAAACTAGATGTTTTGAAGAAATTCAGTGAAATTCAAGACAAAATGGAGAAGCAATTCAGAATATTATCATGTAAATTTAACAAAGAGATTGAAATAATTTTAAGCAAAAATTCTGGAGGTTAAAAGTTCAATAGGCATGCTGAAGAACGCATCAGAGTCTCTTACCAGCAGAATTCATCAAGCAGAAGAAAGAATTATTGAACTTGAAGACAGAATATTTGAAAATACATGGTCAGAGGGGACAAAAGGAAAAAGAATAAAAAAGAATTAAGCATGCCTACAGGATCCACAAAATAACCTCCAAAGGGAAAATCTAAGAGTTATTGGCCTTAAAGAGGAGGTAGAGGAAGAGAGAGGGATAGAAAATTTATTCAAATGGGTAATAACACAGAACTTCCCAAGCCTAGAGAAAGATATCAATATTCAAGCACAAGAAGGTACTAAAACACCAAATAGATCTAACTCAAAGAAGGCTACCTTAAGACATTTAATAATCAAACACCAAAGGTCAAGAATAAAGAAAGGATCCTAAAATGAGAAAAACAAAATTTTATGCAGTCAGTGGTAAGTTGTCATCAACTTACCTATTTAAACAATAGGTTATAAGATGGTATTTGCAAGCCTCGTGGTAACTCAAATGAAAAAACATTCAGCAGATACACAAAAAAGAAAAAGCAAGAAATTAAAACATACCACCAGAGAAAACTACCTTCTCTAAAAAGAAGACAGAAATAAAGGAAAGAAGGAAGAGAAGACCACATAACAAACAGAAAAAAATAACAAAATGCAAGAGTACTTTCTTCCTTATTAATAATAACATTGAATGTAAATGGACTAAACTCTCCAATCAAAAAAACATAGAATGGCTGAATGGATAAGTAAAAAAAAACACACAACAATCTGTAGTCTATAAGAAACACACATTAGCTATAAAGATACACATAGAATGAAAAGAAAGGGATTGAAAAAGATATTCCATGCAAATGGAAACCAAAAATAGCAACAGTCATTATACTAATAATAGATAAAGTAGATTTCAAGAAAAAAGGTGTAAGAAGAGACAAAGAAGGTCATTATATAATGATAACGTAGCCAATCAGTAAGAAGATATAACAATTATAAATATATATGTGCCCCAAAACTGGAGCATCCAGATATATAAAACAAATATTATTAGCGCTAAAGAGAGAGAGAGCAACCCCAATGCAATAACAGCTAGAAACTTCAATACCCCACTTTCAGCATTGAAGAGATCATCCACACAGAAAATCAATAAAGAAACATCAGACTTAATCTGAACTATAAACCAAATAAACCTAATAGATATTTACAGAACATTTCATTCAATGGCTACAATATACACATTCTTCTTCTCAACACATTGATCATTCTCAAGGAGAGACCACATAACAAGTCTTAAAAATTCACATAAGTCTTAAAAATTTTAAAAATATTGATATTATGTCAAGTATTTTCTCTGACCACAATGAAATAAAACTACAAATCAACAACAAAAGGAATCTTGGAAACTACACAAACACATGGAAATATAAAAATATGCTCCTGAATGACCAGTGGGCAAATTAAGAAATTAAGAAGGAAATTTAAAAATTTCTTGAAACAAATGATAATGAAAACACAATATACCAAAATGTATGAAATACAGTAAAAGCAGTACTAAGAGGAAAGTTTATGGGTATAAACACCTAAATGAGAAAAGTAGAAACATTTCAAATAAACAACCTAACAATGCATCTTAAAGAAATAGAAAAGCAAGAGAAAGTAAACCCCAAATTAGTGCAAGATCAGAACAGAAATAAATAAAGTTTAAATGAAAGAAACCATACAAAAGATCAACAAAATGAAAAGTTGCTTTCTTGAAAAGATAAACAAAATCAACAAACCTTTATCCAGGCTAACTAAGAAAAAAGAAGAGAAGACACAAATAAATGAAATGAGAGATGAAAAAGGAGACATTACAACTGATATCACAGACATTCAAATGATTATTAGGGCTACTGTGATATGAGCAAGTATATGCCAATAAATTGGAAACATCTAGGAGAAATGGACAAATTCCTAGACATGTACAATGTACCAAGATTGAACCACGAAGAAATCCAAAATCTGAACAAATAATAAGTAGCAAGATCAAAGCCATAATAAGTCTCCTAGCAAAAAAAAAAAAAAAGGCAATGGCTTCACTGCTTAATTTTACCAAACATTTAAAGAATTAATACCAATACTACTCAAACTTTCTGAAAAATAAAGGAGGAGGGAAAACTTCTAAACCCATTCTACAAGGTCAGTATTACTCTGATCTCAAAACCAGACAAAGACATATCAATAAAAGAAAACTACAGGCCACTATCCCCAATGAACATTGATGCAAAAATCCTCAACAAAATACTATCAAACTAAATTCAACAACACATTAAAAATTCATCATGACCAAATGGGATTTATCCCAAGGATGTAAAAAGATGGTCAGACATATGCAAAATAATGTGATACATCATATCAACAGAATGAAGAACAAAGACCACATGATCATTTCAATTGATATGGAAAAAAGCATTTGATAATATTGAACACTTCAAGATAAAAACCCTCAAAAAACTGAATATAGAAGCAACTCACCTCAATACAATAAAAGCCACATAGGACAGACCCACAGATAATATACTGAGCAGGAAAAAAACTGAAATCCTTTCCTCTAAGATCTGGAACACAAGGTGCCTATTATTCAACATGGTACTGGAAGTCCTAGCTAGAGCAATCAGACAAGAGAAAGAAATAAATGGCATCCAAATTGGAAAGGAAGAAGTAAATTTATTTGTGTTTGCAGATTAAATGATCCTACATTTGGAAAAACCTAAAGACTCCACACAAAAAAGCTATTAGAACTGATAAATTCAGTAAAGTTGCAGGATACAGAATCAACATACAAAAATCAGTAACATTTCTGATTTCAATATATGCCAACAGTGAACGATCTGAAAAAGAAATCAAGAAAGTAATCCCATTTGCAATAGCTACAAATAAAATAAAATACCTAGGAATTAACTTAACCAAAGAAGAGAAAGATCTCTACAATGTAAACTATAAAACATTAATGCAAGAAATTGGAGAGGACACCAAAAAATGGGAAGACATTCCATGCTAATGAATTGGAAGAATCAATATTGTTAAAATGTCCATATTACCTAAAGCAATCTACAGATTCAATGCAATCCCTATCAAAATACTAATGACATTCTTCACAGAAATAGAAAAAAAAAAAAGAAAACAGTCCTAAAATTAATACGGAAACACAAAACACCCAGGATATCCAAAGCTATCCAGAGCAAAAATAACATACTGGAGGAATCACATTACCTGACTTCAAATTATACTTCAGAGCTATAGTAACAAAAACAGCATTGTACTGACACATAAACCAATGAAACAGAATAGAGAACCCAGAAACAAATCCATAAATGTAAAGTGAATTCATTTTAGACAAAGGTGCCAATAACACATATTGGGGAAATGACAGTCTCTTCAATAAATGATGCTGGGAAAATTAGACATTCGTATACAGAAAAACAAATGACAATATGACCCTATCTCTTATCATATGCAAAAATCAAATCAAAATGGATTGAGACTTAAACCTATGAAACTACTGAAAAAAATTAACGAGACGTGGCAGTGTGCGCCTGTAGTGCCAGCGAATCGGGAGGCTGAGGCAGGAAAATTGCTTGAACCCTGGAGGCGGAAGTTGCAGTGAGCCGAGATCATGCCACTGCACTCCAGCCTGGGCGACAGAGCGAGACTCAGTCTCAGGAAAAAAAAAAAACAACCAACAAACAAAAAAAACACAAAAACAAACAAACAAAAAAAACATTGGGGAAACTCTCCAGGACATTGGACTGGGCAGTTATTTTTTGAGTAATATCCCACAAGCACAGGCAACCAAAGCAAAAATGGACAAATGGGATCACATCAAGTTAAGAAGCTTCTGCACAGCAAAGGAAACAATCAACAAAGTGAAGAGACAACCCATTGAATGGGAGAAAATATTTGCAAACTAGTCATCTGACATGGGATTAATAAACAGAATATATAAGGAGCTCAAACACTCTATAGAAAAAAATCTAATAATCCAATTAAAAATGGGCAAATAGTCCAAATAGACATTTCTCAAAAGAAGACAAACAGGTATATAAAAAGGTGCTCAAAAGAAGACATACAAAAAGGTATATAAAAAGGTGCTCAACATCACTGATCATCAGAGAAATGCAAATCCAAAACTACAATGAGACATAATCTCACCCTAGTTAAAATGGCTTTTAATCCAAAAGACAGGTAATAACAAATGCTGGTGAGAATGTGGAGAAAAAAGAACCCTTGTACCCTCTTCGTGGGAATGTAAGTTAGTACAACCACTATGGAGAAAAGTTTGGAGGCTTTTCAACCAACTAAAAATAGAGTCACCATATGATCCAGCAACCCCCTGCAAGGTATATACCCAAAAGAAAGGAAATCAGTATATCAAAGAGATATCTGCACTCCCATGTTTACTGCAGCACTAATCACACTAGCTAAGATTTGGAAGCAACCTAAGGATCTATCAACATATGAATGGATGAAGAAAATGTGGTACATATACACACTGGAGTACTATTTAGCCATAAAAATGAATGACATCCTATCATTTGCAACAGCATGGACGGTGCTGGAAGTCATTTTGTTATGTGAAATAAGTCAGGCACAGAAAGACAATCTTCACATGTTCTCATTTATTTGTGGGAGTTAAAAATTAAAATAATTGAACTCATTGAGCTATGTAATAGAACAATGGTTGCCTGAGGCTGGGAAGAGTAGTGGGGGTACTGGAGGTGGTTAATGGATACCAACATATCATTAGATATAATGAATAAGATCTAGTGTTTTATGGCACAACAGGGTGACTATGGTCAACAATAATTTATTGTACATTTAAAAATAAGTAAAGAGTATAATTGGATTGTTTGTAACACAAGGATAAATACTTGAGGTGATAGATACCCAATTTACCCTCATGTGATTATTATTCATTTTATGCTTGTATCAAAATATTTTATGTACCTCATAAATGCACCCCTGTTACATACTCACAAACATTAAAACTTTAAAAAAAGAAAGTGGACTTGGATTAGTTGTAAATGTATATTGCAAACTCTAGGGCAACCACTAAATTTTCTTTTAAAGTATAGTATAACTGATATGTTAAGAAAGAAGAGCAAATGAAATCATATAAAATGCTCAATTAAAACCACAAAAGGCGAAAAAAGAGTGGAAGACAAAGATAGGAGCAAGAACAAGGGTAACAAATAGAAAATAGTAACACATAGAATAGATATTAATCCAAATATATTAATAACCACTTTTAACATCAATGGACATCAATGGTTTAAATGCATCAACTAAAAGACAGATAACAAGAAATCTACTTTAGATGAAATGACACATATATAAATTAAAAGTAGGGCTAGGCCAGGCCAGCACCCTTCAGCCTCACACTCCTCTCTCACATTACCATTTTTAAACTTTAAATTTAAAAAAAAAAATTAAATAATTAAAAGTAAGTGGATGGGAAAAGATTTATTATGCTAACAGTAATCAAGAAAAAGCAAGAATTACTATGTTAACTTTAGACAGAGCAGGCCTCACAGCAAGGTAAGTGATTAGGGATAAAGAGGGCCATTAGATGATTTAAAAAAAGATCAATATTCTAAAAAACATAACAATCCTTAATATTTATATGCCCAAAAACAGAAGGTCAAAACACATGATCCAAAAACACAGGGAACGGCAAGGAGATAGAAATGAGTCCACTATTACAGGTGGATACTTCAGTACACTTCTGCCAGAAATGATTGAATCCGACAGGCAGAAAATCAGTATGGAGATAGTTAAAGACAACAAAAGTATCAATCAGACAGACATATTTAATATATAATAGACTATTTACCACCACCAACAGGATACACATTTTTCTCAAGCTCTCATGGAATATGTACCAAGATAGACCACATTCTGAACCATAAAAGACACTATACAAATTAAATTTTAAAAAATCATACAATATCTGCACTCAGATAATTGAGTTAAGCTACAAATCAATAACAAAAAGATAGCTAAAAAAAACCCTCAAAATATTTGGAGATTAAACCACACACTTTTACATTACACAAGTGAAAGAAGAAATCTCAAAGCAAGTTTTAAAATATTTTGAATTAACTAAAAATAAAAACACAACATTCTAAAATTTGTGAGCTGCAATGAAAACAGTGCTTAGAGAAAAATTAATGGCATTTTATGTACATGTTAAAAGAAAAATCTAAAATTAACCTGAGCTTCCAACTTAGGAAACAAGAAAAAGAAGAACAAATCAAATCCAGAGTAAGTAGAAGAAAAGGAATAATAACAATTAAAGAAGAAATCAATAAAGTTGAAAACAGGAAATCAATAAAGAAAGTTAACTAAACCTAAATATGATTTTTTGAAAAGATCAATAAAATTAATAAGCCTCTAGCTAACTAAGAAAGTTAACTAAAAATGAGGGAGGACACAAATTATTATCAAAAATAAAAGAATAAATATCTATACAGATCCTATGAACATGAAAGGGGTAATAAGTGAATACTACGAACAACTCTATGTTCAGTATAATGAGGAATACATATCCTTATGCATTTGTCCAAACCCATAGAATGTACAATGCCAAGAGTGACCTCTAATGTAAACTATGGTCTTTGGGTGATAGTGAAGTGTCAATGTAGGTTCGTCAATATTCACAAATGAACCACTCTGGTGAAGGTTATTGATAAAAGAGAAGGGTAGGCATGTGTCAGGCAGGGTATATGTGGAAAATCTCAGTACCTTCTGCTCAATTTTGCTATGAATCTAAAACTTCCCTAAAAAATACAGTCCAATATTAAAATAATGCTTAGATCCATTAACCAAAGAACCAGGGGCAGTATGCTTATTGAGTAAACCAAAATTTTTAAGAAAAATTAGAATCACACAAATTCATGCAAGTACAATGAAGAGAATAGTTGGTAAGGAAGAGAAAAAGCCATCTCCTGGTTGGAAAAAAAAAAAACATAATCATAGGGAGATCAGTATTACTGATATGATTTGGCTGTGTCCCCACCCAAATCTCATCTTGAATTCCCACACTTCGTGGGAGGGACCTGGTGGGAGGTAACTGAATCATGGGGGCAGGTCTTTCCTATGCTGTTCTCATGATAGTGAGTAAGTCTCATGAGACCTGACGGTTTCATAAGGGGGAGTTTCCCTGCACAAGTTCTGTTCTCTTGTCTGCTGCCATGTGAGACATGCCTTTCACCTTCCACTATGATTGTGAGGCCTCCCCAGCCATGTGAAACTGTAAGTTGATTAAACCTCTTTCTTTTGTAAATTGCCCAGTCTGAGGTATGTCTTTATCAGCAGCATGAAAATGGACTAATACAGTGAACTGGTACCAGTAAAGTGGGGCACTGCTGAAAAGATACCCAAAAATGTGGAAGCGACTTTGGAACTGGGTGACAGGTATAGGTGGAACAGTTTGGAGGGCTCAGAAGAAGACAGGAAAATGTGGGAAAGTTTGGAACTTCCTAGAGACTTGTTGAATGGCTTTGATGAAAAGCCTGAGAATGATATGAACAATAAGGTCCAGGATGAGGTGGTCTCAGAGGGAGATGAGGAACTTGTTGGGAACTGGAGCAAAGGCAACTCTTACTATGTTTTAGCAAAGAGACTGGCAGCATTTTGCCCCTGCTGTAGAGATTTGTGGAACTTTGAACTTGAAAGAGATGACTTAGGGTATCTGGTAGAAGAAATTTCTAAGCAGCAAAGCATTCAAGAGGTGACTTGGGTGCTGTTAAAGGCATTCAGTTTTATGAGGGAAACAGAGCATAAAAGTTTGGAAAATTTGCAGCCTGACAATGCAATAGAAAAGTAAATGGGCTTTTCTGAGAAGAAATTCAAGTGGGCTGTAGAAATTTGCATAACTAATGAGGAGCTGAATGTTAATCACCAAGACGATGGGGAAAATGTTTCCAGGGCATGACAGAGACCTTGGAAGCAGCCTCTACTATCACAAGCTCAGAGGTTTCTGAGGAAAAAATGGTTTCCTGGGCCAGTCCCAGGGTCCCCATGCTGTATGCAACCTAGAAATTTGGTGTCCTGTGTCCCAGCTGCTCCAGCTGTGACTAAAAGGGGCCAAGGTACAGCTAGGGCTGTTGCTTCAGAGGGCGGAAGCCCCAAGCCTTGGCAGCTTCCATGAGGTGTTGAGCCTACGGTGCTCAGAAGTCAAGAATTGAGGTTTGGGAACCTCCACCTCAATTTCAGAGGATGTATGGAAATGCCTGAATGCCCAGGCAGAAGTTTGCTGCAGGGACAGGGCCCTCATAGAGAACCTCTGCTAGGGCAGTACAGAAGGGAAATGTGGGGTCAGAGCCTCCGCACAGAGTCCCTACTGGACCACTGCTTAGTGGAGCTGTGAGAAGAGGGCCACCATCTTCCAAACCCCAGAATGGTAGATCCACCAACAGCTTGCACCATGCACCTGGAAAAGCTTCAGACACTCAACACCAGCCCATGAAAGCAGCCAGGAGAGGGGCTACATTCTGCAAAGCAACAGGGGTGGAGCTGCCCAAGACCATGAGAATCCACCTCTTGCATCTGTGTGACCTGGATGTGAGACATGGAATCAAAGGAGATCATTTTGGAAATTTAAGATTTGACTGCCCTGCCAGATTTCAGATTTGCATAGGGCCTGTAGCCCACTTTTTTTGGCCAGTTTCTCCCATTTGGAATGGCTGTATTTACCCAATGCCTGCACCCTCACTGTATCTAGGAAGTAACTAACTTGCTTTTGATTTTACAGGCTCATAGGCGAAGGGACTTGGCTTGTTTCAGATGGGACTTTGGACTGTGGACATTTGAGTTAATGCTGAAATGGGTTAAGACTTTGGGGGACTGTTGGAAAGTCATGACTGGCTTTGAAATATGAAGACATGAGATTTGGGAGGGATGGGGGCAGAATGATATGATTTGGCTGTGTCCCCACCCAAATCTTATCTTGAATTCCCACATGTTGTGGGAGGAACCTGGTGGGAGGTAATTGAATCATGGGGCAGGTCTTTCCTATGCTGTTCTCATGATAGTGAGTAAGTCTCATGAGATCTGATGGTATCATAAGGGAGAGTTTCCCTGCACAATCTCTCTTCTCTTGTCTGCCACCATGTGAGATGTGTCTTTCACCTTCCACCATGATTGTGAGGCCTCCCCAGCCATGCGGAACTGTAAGTCGATTAAACCTCTTTCTTTTGTAAATTTCCCAGTGTTGGGTGTGTAATTACCAGCAGCATGAGAACGGGCCAATACAATTACATATACAAAATGTATGTATCTACGGTTTTACCTTTTTGTGTTTTTCTATCTTTTTTTTAGACAGGAAATTAATGCAGGAGTTCTGACTACTGAGAGAACTGATAGAGATCCATGGGAAAGCAACCTAGGCCATAGAAAAAAGTCAGGTATCACTCTCTGATAATAGCAGCTAAACCAACACAAAGATGATTTCAGGGTATTTGGTATCTGATTTGACATCCCCAAGTTTGGATCAGTCTCAGAGGGTTCAACTCTACAAATCACCAAAGATTTAGTCAGAAATTAATTAAGATTAACTAAATGTTATTAACTTACCTATTTGCATTTGAATTTTAAAATCTCCTGGTAGTGGGGAGAGTTGTGGAATAATGTGGGCCAGCCAAGCAATGCTGGCTAGAAAGGTTCTTCATGCCCCCACACGGAGATATGATTATTTTCACAAAATGGTTTACAAATTATGCTCCTAAATACGTGACTTATTCCCACGATTTACTTTCTAGTGTTCTACGCTGTAGTCTTTTGACTTAGTTCTTGTATGTGTTTCAGATCCTACTAGGTGAATAACAGTAGAGACAGCATATTGTATAAGAAATTTAAGAAACAAGTGGGTAGTTGCAGCAAAAAAATTGTGAAGGATGCCATCAACCCCATGATTCTCTATTGTATAAGACTGTCTACTTGCATCATATCTCCTTAAATATTGTGATAACATCATACAAATGCTTTTAAATGTAATTCATATTTATGTAGGATTATATTCATTTTAGCTTCTTTTAAAATATTATCTTTCTATACAGAAAGCATACAATAATGGTAAAAGCCCTCAGCTAATTCTTTCAACATTCACTCAGCAAACATTTAATGAGAGTTTGTGCTTTGTTAAAACCAGTCCCAAGGGAAAGTGATTCCTCTCCAGAAAGCAGGGCTGTGACCTATATGTCACCACCCACCTGGAGACCACTTATCTAAACTGAGGGCAAAGAACCTGGGAGGAGATAAATCCGCTTCTTGGGTACTGGCCTTTTGAAACTCAAAACTAAAAAGTGATGGCAAACATCAGACAGGCAATTATCTCAATAACAAGATTTTTTATCACTGTTATTATAATAGCCAATCAAATTACCAAAGCAAACATGGGTGCCTACCTAATAAGCCTGTTTAAACCATCAGCAAGAATACGAACAGAAATATTTACAGGCAGAATTAGATTTATTCTAAGTAATTACCTGGTGATAGTAAATAAAAACATATACAACATCACCAAATACATACACACATGCATGCACATAGGCACATATACATATCAAAAAGCAAGACCATTCCATTCATTATAATATGACAGCCCTTATTTAATTTTGTTAATTTCATACTAAGCTTGAATTTAATAAATGAACTAAAACTCTGAGCTTCACAAGTGAATAATAGGTAACTATTAATTATGTTCTTGGTATCAGAGGTATATAAGAGGAAATCTATTTTGGGGGGCTTATGAAACTACTACCTCCTAGGTACCAACTCATAAAAGCCACATGACATTTGTTAATGTTCTGCAGTAAAGATTAATAACTCATTTCTTCAAATCTTTCTTTCCTCACAGCAGTCTGTGGATATGATATACCCATAAATCTCATCTTGACTAAAACTTAAATTATACAGTCGAGCTTGTCTGATTGAGATATAACTACTGAACTAAAGTAGAGCCCGGTTCATCAAAAGTTTTACTTAGGTTTCTGAATAACTGTCAGCATATTTCAGCTGCGTATTATATAATCCAAAGCTATTTAATGGATAATAATATAAAATGTGATTGTAACATATTCCTTCAGTCCCAATCATTTGAATTTGGATAATTCCAGTGGTGTGTCTTTGAGAAAAGATCCACACTTAAAAGACTAAAAAGACATGAGTATTATTAAGCAGAGTTTTTCTAATTCAATGGTGTTCTAGCAGTAAAATTCTTGCACTTGACGAACACTTGAATTTGGTCTATAAAGTCTAAGCTTCCCTTACAATTTCATCTACCTCCATTTATACATGCATTGATTTGTTTATAATAGTTTCTCAGTAAAATTACCATGTTATACCTTTAAAATAAATAAAATGAATACCAGCAATAACCATGGTTTGTTTAGGCTGATCCATTTTTTAAAAGTATGAGTAATTTTTTAAGATGTAAACTTGAATTAAGACAGAGACTGTCAACTTCATTTTGGCCTCAAAACAATACAACAGCCATGCACATACTAAAGTCAACTGTCCCCATCATCAATAATCAAAATAAGTTAATGTGAAACATTCAGAAAATGTAAGTAATGATACTTAAAATACACTTGACACTGTGCTCACAGTTTAGCATTAATTGAATCTGCAAATATTTTTGAGTGTCTACTACATATCATGTTTCATATTACTGCAATGGACTCTGGAGATATAATGAAACAAAACAGATATAACCCACTCTTCAAAGAATTCACAGTATATTAGGGGAGATAAATATTTAAACATATAACTATAACACAATGTGGCAAACCCTTGAAGGTAAAAGGTGTCATAAAACCAAGCAGAAACTAGATAAAATAGGAACAAGTCATTCAAGTGAAAGTCAGTTCTTGCTAGTAAATTCACTGATTGATTCATTTAACAAATATATGCATGCCTATATACGATAGGCACTTGAGTGGGCAGAGTGGTAGGCACAGTCAAACATGGTCTCTCTCCTCATGTAGCTTATGGGCAGGTGGAAGAGACAGATTTTAATCAATCACACAAATGACTATAAATGGTTAAGTGCTATAAATGATAGGACGGAGAAATGCACATGACTTTGAGCACATAGGAAAAGGACATTGTCTACACAGAGGTCAGGGAAGACTTCCCAAAGGATGGGATGATAGGGCTCAAACAGGATGGGTGAACAGGAAGTAACTACATCAAGAGTATAGTAAAAAGCATTTCGGAGAGATGGAGCAGTATATGCAAAGATCCTGTGGTGAAAGGAAGCAAGGGGAGAAAAACACACTGAAAGGATAATGGAGCTAGAGCAGAAAAATAATGACATGGTCCAAAGGGGCTGTAGAGGCTAGTAGGGCCAGCCCATGCAATCCTTTAGCTATATAAAGGTGTCTTATTTTCTTTAATAAAGGGAGGGGCAAATAAAAGTTTATTCAGATAAATGCTGAAGAGTAAATGAGGGAGTCCAAGAAAGAAAAAAGCATTACTTGAATGAGGGTCATGTGGTGAGGGTAAAGTTGTGATGTGGAGACAAATAGCTGGATTCAAGAGATGTTTAGAAATAGATTAAGGAATGACACCTGAGTTCCTGGCTTAAGTAACTGAATGGATAGTGATGTCCTTTACTGAGAAGACTGGTGTTCAAGAAAGAATAGAGAATCATGAATTTGGTTTTAAACATATTGAATTTTTGAAGCCTTGAAGATGTCCAGGAGGGGAAATGAAATAGGTAGCTAGACGTATGTCTGGAACTTGGAAGTGATGTATGGTCCATTATAATTTATATGACATCCACACTTAAGTGACAGGTGAGATGGACATTGAAGGAAGAACCTACTTAGAAGACAAGAAGGCTTAGAACTAAATATGATGGATTCCTAACTTCTAATTACATATAGGAAAATCTATTCTGATATTAAACTTTATTTTTCCCCCTTCTCCTTATTGAATTTTTTTGCGTGTTTTGCAAAATTGTTGTTTAAAGTCTGTGCGTGTTACACTGTCAGGTAAGTTAACCTTAATTAAATAATTATTAGTTTGCCCTATTTCAGAAATTATGCATTCAACCCTTTGATACAGAAAACCTTTATTTTCCTAATCCAACACTATTATAACTTTCATATTAGCAGTTCTCAACCCCTTATCTGCAGCTCTAAAATCCAAAAAGCTCTGAAAACCAGAAGGATTTTTTAAATTGGCACAAGCCCATTAGGTGATAAAATCATCCAGGAGATAAAGGCTATTAACAGTCTTTCTTTATTCCAGTTAGAGTAAATATTCGTATGCTTTGCTGCAGATGTATTAATATGTTAGATTATGGGATGCTGCCTTAGGCCCTTCTGGGGGTGTCAAGTAATAATGTTGCACCATATTACTTTTCTAAATCTAAAATATTGATAACTCCAAAACACATCTAACCCTAGGATTTTGGATAACACATTTTGCACCTCTTTTTGCTTATTGAGTAAATAGCACGTGGAAAAGACTATCCTGCATGCTTTGAATATATAATATCTCATTTAATTTCATGACCTCATAAGGTGTCATGATATCATAAAACTCAAATAGGTCTCCACAGTTATTTTTAAGACTTCCCTGTATATAAAATTGTTTATTCTTTTTATAAATTATAGTATATCAAAAATTAAAATTCAAATTGATTGTATGCTATCTATTGAAGAAATAGTATGAAGAACTGTCCTTTCCAATTCAACAGACCAACTGAATGAATGAAATATATATTCTTTTAATAAGAATTAATTGTCCAGGTATTAACAATATTATATGGTTATATTACTAAGCATATTTATATTTAGAACTTATGGATTGATGTGGTTTTGACATTTGCCTCCCAATCTCATGCTGAAACATGACCTCCAGTGTTGGAGGAGGACCTAGTGGGAGGTGTTTTGGTCAGGGGGTGGATCCCTCATCAATGGCTTGGTGCTATTCTCACGATAATGAGTGAGTTCTCACTAGATCACTTCACAACAGAGCTAGTTGTTTAAAAGAGCTTGGAAATTCCTCCTCTCTCTCTTTCTCTCTCTTGCCATGTGACACACCTGCTCCCTCTTCCCCTTCTGCCATGACTGTAAGCTCCCTGCAGCCTCAGCCAAAGCAGGTGCTGGCACTATGCTTCTTGTAGGATCTGCAGAACCATGAGCCAAAATAAACCTCTTTCTTCGTAAATGACCCAGCCTTAGGTATTCCTTTATAGAAATGCAAATTGGACTCACACATAACTGTATTTAAATAAGTTAATATTACAGTTTATATGCTTTTTAGAAGCTTAAGGCCCTCTACAATTCAATAGTTTCCTGTAAAGGTGGAAATGTACAAGTTAATTACTTCAATTAGATTCAGTAAAATTTCTTTAAATTTCTATTCAAAAAAGTTCATCTGATTGCATTAGAGTTTAAACATTAATATTTATTAAGAAGGCTTTTATAAAGCAAAAGACATTTTGCTTCAGAAATCAACAATTGTGTTTAGATGATGTTTTACACTTCACAGTTACTTTTAAGTTAAAACAAAGCTCTCATGTCATGCTTAAATGTACTGTTTTCCATCCTCAGTATAGTGACCTTTTGATATCATTTTCATTATGAAGTTGTGAATGTTCTTTCAAGGATGCAGAGAATAAAGGAGAAACAAGACTGATTTCTTTAAAAGGTCATATTTCAAATATCTGGAAAGTCATCAATGCACTTTTTAAAAAAATCTACATGCTGTAAAATAGATCTAAAGCCATAAATGGGAACATCTGGGATAAAAACCCAAAACTTACTATAGTGTTTGCCATCTCTTATAAAATTCTGTTGCAAATACAGTATATTTATTGTTGTATTATATCCTAATGCTGGATATGGAATATCAATGTATTCTCAGCCTATTCAGATATTAAAAAATGAATTCATTGGCTAGAAAATATAGTTGAATTTATAACAAAGAAACTTATACATTTTCATAAGAATAAAAGGATTATAAAGATTTATTTCTGGAAAAAAAAAAAAAAAAAACCCAAACAATTCAAATGGTCTTATACTATCTTAGGCTGGAAAACTTTTTATATCCTTATTTTATGGGTTGATATATGATCATCAATTAATGAAGTCATTTTTATCATAATAAAATGTCATGATTAGAACTGCAGTATTCTAGTCTAACCATTTTCTAAAGAATATGATTGGGGCATTTTAGGTAGTTAAATATTAAAATAATCTAATTGAAAATGAGACTTTTAGATTATTCATTTTGATTGACAAACTGCAGAAAATGGGTTTCTTTCCTAAGTACATTTCTATCACTCAATTTTGGTAGATAAAACCAGTATTTCTGAGTAAAAGGTAAAATATACCTTGTCTTTGTTTTACTTAACTAATAAATGCAATTATTCTTGAATTTTTGTGTTTTAAATGCACCTGTTATTTTGGCATCTACATCAATCAAATTCCTCAAGTACTGTGCTTCTGTGTAGGAAAGGTGTTCAGTTACATGGTTGTCATAGCTGCATTTTCCCCTTGTAACTAAACAACAATGTTCTTTGGAATTAAAGAAGCACACTTTTGATTTAAATTATTTATAGTTATAAAAAGAACATTAAAATGGAGGAGCAATTCATTGAGAAGACTGATCACAGGACCTCATGGACTAACTGAAAGCTTCAGAATGCAAAACAATAGCCACAGTCATGAGGTGAGCATTCCAGTGACTTAACTTGTACTTCCATTTCATCTATTAAAAAATACTGGACCTCAGATGAATTATCAGACTTGTTCACAATCACACAAGCAACAAGTGAACTAAATTGCATGTATTTTGATTGTAATAGGGTATTCTTTCAACTGTAAGTTACTTATTATCAGTTAATAAGTATAATGAAATTTAAATCCAGTCCTCATTACTAGGGGAAAAAAATGTGTTCTATATAAACAAACAAATATGAATCAACTGACCTCACTTTCTGGTAGAAAAATCATTTGGAGTTGCTTTCCAAATATAGGTGGAACTTGACATAGTCACTCATTACTTTTTGTTGTGTCTTGTGTTTCACTTTGTTTTGTAATCACCATATGCTGCAAGATCTAGGTTCTTCATACAGTACAGGACAATGTTACAATTGAAATCTACCATCAGAAAATATTAACTTTAGATGAGTGTTTTATTTCTTTTAGGTGCTTTCTTCCACTTTAGTCCCTAGATTATGTAATAAATATACACTGAACAGACCCAGCCTTCTTCTCCAGGAGAAATTTTAGTTTCTTGAGATCATCTTTACTGTTATCTTAATGTTTGATTTCCTGAAAAACCTCTAATTCCCTTTCACAAGAAAGAAGAATGAAAAAGGAGAGAGGGAGCAGGAGGCAGAAAATAATATTATTTTCAGCTTGGCTTATCCTGCATAAATATCATGATTATGCTATTTTTTGAGAGATAATTTTAAGAAATGAATAAGTGCATATAAAATGTTGGAAAGAACTAAAATGACACAAAATTTCTTTGTACGATTTTTCCTCTGTGTCAAATACTTTTGAGAGATACAGAGAAAATAAAAATACTAGATAATGTAGCTTTGGAATATATGGAAAATGTTTTACTGTAACTTCATAGAGGAGGACCCAAAATTCTGTTTTCCATACTAATTTGAGCTTACAAACCAACTTTAAAAAAGAAAAAAAATTCATTGAAAATTTACAAATTAAAACAAAAATATTTTTGAAAGTATATTTGTTTTAGCCTTTTTAATCTTTTTTCCAGTTACTTGCAATTTCTCTGTAGCAGGCAAAATAATACCTCCCCACCAAAGATGTCCACATCTTACCCTAGAACCTGTGGATAAGTAAATTTACATTATACAAGGAGTTTTGTATGTGTTATTAAGTTGCAGACCTTGAGATGGATAGATTATCCTGGATTATCGTGCATGGCCTAATATAATCTCAAGGGTTCTTATAAGATGGTGACAGGAGGACCAGAATCAAACAGAAGGTGTGACTGTGGAAGTAGGTATCAGAGTGATGTGGAACACTGAATCAGTGTGGGCAGCCTCTAGATGCTGGAAAACGCAGGCAAGCACATATTTCTCTAGAGCCTCCAACAAGGATCTAAACCCTCCTGATACTTTGATTTTAGCCCAGTGAAACTCATTTCAAACTTCTATTCTCTAGAACTGTAAGATAATAAATTTGTGTTGTTTTAACCACTGAGTTTGTGGTAATTTTGTTACAGCAGCAATAGAAAACTAATATATACTTATATATCATTATCAATATTATATTTATAATATAATTATAAATTATTAGAATTATATAATTCTGAGTTTTATTTTCTCATTCTTATAGCACCTGAAATTTTGCTGATGGTTTCTATCAAACACGTTTCCTGGAAATGCTGGTGCCATGGTATTTCCCCATCATAACTGAAGTAACTTGAGGAAAATTCTGACAAAGGTCAGTTTCCTAAATCTAATGCCTTTAATCAATCCCTCAATGTTATTAAATGCTCTAATAGTAGAAGTTATAAAGGAAAAAAGTTCTCTCTTTTTCTCCCTTTCTTTCTCAGCATGATCTGAAGAAAGTGTAGATGAGAACAAATTACAATAGAAAAGAAAGCAGAAGCTATCCATAAGGAAGTACAAGCACTACCCTAAGCTTTGTTCTTACAGCCCCGATGACACACTTGAGGCTTTTAGTAGGATAATAATGTGATCAATTAGCATTTCAGAAATATCCCTCAGGCAATAATATAAAGGGGGAGTTATTGAAAGACCTTACTGGGTAAAAGGACGAAAAAAAGAAAAAAGAAGACTCGTGAGCCAAATATTACCGATAATATATAGGAATTAAAGGAAAATGTGTATAAGACTTCTGATTGATTTATACACCACGATGAAGGGAAAGGAAGATTCACATATTATGCATTCAGATGAAATGGGAAATAGTGAAGAAGATGGCACCAAAATAAGGAATAGAAGTGAAAGCAAAATGTTGAAGGAAAGAAGAAGAATTCAGCATTGGGCTTAATGAAATGAGAGCCTGTGGAACATGTAAGGGGAAGGTCTAGTTCACAGCTAAGATGTGCAGATTTAGAGACACAAACGTGGTGGCCAGTTTAGAAGCCACTGCATCAGGGTTTTAGATAAAGTCACTCAGGATGAAGAATTAGATTTAGAAGGACAGAATGTTAAGTAAAGGACTTGAGGAGCATCAATATCCAAGGGGTAAGAGAGACTAAAAGAATCTCAAAAAAGTATTACACAAGGAAAGTCAAGACAGAACACCATCACAAAGCTAATGTAGGATAGAGTTTCAAGAAAAAAGTGGTTAACAAAATCAAATGCCTCAGGGATGAGGGAAGAGAAGGAGCAGAAGATATCCCCAGCAGACTGAGAAATAACTGGGTCACTGGCAAGCCTCAGGAGAATTAGTTCAGGGACTTGGCAAGAACAGAAATCAGCCTGCAGGGATTGGAGGAACTTTGTGAACTGTCAGTGAGGAGACCTCAGGGCTCAGACTAGGCACCTTCTTCTCTCTCTCCACATTCTTCCCATAGAGGATCTCATCAGTGCTCATGGTTTTAAATACCAGCTATATGCTAATGACTCCCAAATTTGCATTTCTGTTCCCTATCTCTGTGTGAGGATGGAAGCTCACATGCAGTGACTTGAACAGTGAATTGGGGGTGCCACAGGTACAGCACTAAGCACCTCCTCCTCCCTCTATTCACTTTCCATGTGAATGACACGCCCTATTCCCACAGATAAAATACTATGTACATGCTAATATAACATAAATTCCAAAGTTATGTTTCTGCTCTGGAATTTTCACATTTTTTTCTAGGAGGCCCAGCTACGTAGTATATATAATATATAGTATATTGGATATATATAGTTATAGTATATGCATACAGTATATAATATTCTATATGTACATAGCATATCTTATATAGGACACCCAGCTTTATATACGATATACTATCTGTATTATATACTACTATGTACTATATCTACCTATCTCTCTATATAATCACAAACATCTCAATATTTAAAATTTATATGTCCCAAGCACTTATTATTTCTCCTAAAACCTGCTACTCCTTAGTCTTGTCCAATTCAGAAACTAGTCTTCCTTTATTCCTTCATTTTCCTTACCCCCAACATACAACTCCACCATCCACTCTAACCTGCAACTATGTCTCAAATAGAACCATCCTTGCCTCTGCTACCAGAGCTCTAGTCCAAGCCACCATCATTGCATACTGTGAATCCTTCATTACTAATCTTCCAGTTTCCTCCAACCCTCTCCAATCATTCTTCTTACAGCCTTCAAAATGTACTTTTAAAATCACAGAATGGATCACCTGTTCTCCCATCTAAAATCTTTCAATTGCTTTCCATGTTTTTTTGTTTGTTTATTTAGACAGAGTCTCGCTCTGTCACCCAGGCTGGAGTGCAGTGGCACGATCTCCACTCACTGCAACCTCTGCCTCCCGGGTTCAAGTGATTCTCCTGCCTCAGCCTCCTGAGTAGCTGGGACTATAGGCACACACACCACCGCAGCTGGCTAATTTTTGTATTTTTCGTAGAGATGGAGTTTCCCCATATTGGCCGGCTGGTCTCGAACTCCTGACCTGGTGATCTGTCCATCTTGGCCTCCCAAAGTGCTGGGATTACAGGCATGAGCCACCACACCCGGCACTTTCCATTTTATCTAGAATGAAATCCAGCTTCCGTACCATGACCTTCGTGTTGAATAGGTGATCACCCAACTATCTATCCAACTTCTTCCCATACCACTCTCTCTCTCCTATGCCTACTGTGGTCTAGCCATACTGGACTTTTACAGTTACTGCAATAAGACAAACACTATCCCCCAATACAGCTTCCATTTATGCTTTTCCCTACTGCCTGGAATGCTCTTTCTTGGGTTCTACAAAAGCATGGCTTCTCTCTTTTCAGGAACAGGTTACAATGTCTTCTAACCACTGTTTAAATAGGTCCTTCCCTAATATATTTTTGTTTCTGAACTCTCATAGTATTGGCATTTTGTAATTAGTTATTCATTTTTTTATGTATTACCTGTCCTACTGACTACATTCTAAGCTGCTTTAGGACAAGCAATTTGTCTCTCTTTATTTATTATTGGACATCCAGTGTTGGGCAAATATTAGGTTCTTAATAAATATTAATTAAATGAACAAATCAGTGAATGAGGAAAAAAGCCAATAATAATAATATAGTATTAATAACTACCACATATTAAATGCTTATAGATGTCAAGACCTATTGCACATGTTTTACATGTATTAATCTTTTAATCTCCCCAACAGCCCTATGAGCTAGGAACTATTACTATCCTGGTTCAGTGATGAGTTTACTAAGATAAAGAGAAGTTAAGTAATATGCCAAAGGACCCATAGCTAGCAGAGCCAGAATTTGAATGCAGGAAGTCTGATTCCAGAGTTCATACTCTTCATCTGCTTTAAAGATTTCAGAATGCCTGATCATAATCAGAAAGAGAAATTTTGGGGACTTCAGTTATTACAGATGGCTCCAGGGTTAATGGATGTATGTGAGTGTGTGTGTTTATAAATGGAGAAGCTTTACCAACTTTATATGCACAGGCTAACATGTTATTGGATTGAAGTAGAAGATACAAGCAAGAAAGGGTGACTAATTAAGTAAGTGACTGAAAAAACAGGTGTAAGTGAGACCTAACACAAGGAATCTAGCTTTGGGAAGATCATTCTACTTCTGTGAAAGAGGAGAAAAAATAGAGCTGAGGCTCATAAGGACATTTTAGATTTCTGGGGAGGAAGTTGAAGATTTTAAGTTTTTATTAGATTTTCCCAATAAAGTCATAGGCAAATTCGTCTATTGAGTGTATGGGGAGAAATGATGAAGTATGAGGTTGAATGAGAGAAGTGAAATGTACCAAATATACCAAATGGAATGGAAGATAATGGGCTAAAACAATGCCAGCTGGATAAGGTAGAGGCCCCAACTGAGATGGAAGACCACTCACTGGTTTGTAAAAGCAAGAATCTGCAAGTTGTTGTGGGACTATCTTCCACCACAGCAGCCTGGAGGCTGAGCTGATAGGCTGCACTGGTCATGGATGGTTAGGTAAAGCAGAACAACAGGGCCAGAAGTGACTCTAATTATAAGAACTGATTTAATCATCACAAGAAAAGGTAAAGGCTGGATGTGGAAGGGAGCAATGGGCAGGCCAAAGAGTGAGGAAAAAAAAATAGCCAATGGATTAGGAGACTCCATCAGACCAAAGAGAATGTATAGAGAGAGAGAGAGCAAGAGAGCTGGAAGACTGAGAGCTATGGTCCAGCCAAAAACACTGGATCACTCTGAAAGCTCCTGGGCCTAGGAAACAAGGCACCCCTCAATCTACCCTTGTTAACTTTTACAACAATTTCATCTTTCCCTTCAATTGCTCACTAATTCTCTAAAGGAATGACTCAACATTCTCATAAGTGTCCGTGCTTGTATATTCTATCACAAAAGATTTATTGGTAAACTTGTCTACCAACCATACTTCCTGTTCTCAATGGGAAATTATTCCCAAAGGTTGCAGCATCCAACATGGTTTTAGTCCTCTTTCTTAAGGCTTACACACTATCTTACAATGACAAAATGGCAGCCATCTTCTTAACTTTAAGCGCAATGTTTTCATCAGACTAAATAAAAAATCAGTGATGTATTGCACAGATAATTTGGTTTCTAAATGTTTCCATCATTTAATAATTTTCACCACTGGTGACACAATTTATGTGAGTGTTCTCTATTATTGAAACTGAATATTTTGCTACACAGCCCCAAGATTATGAAACAAGCAGACAAGTGGAATAGAATCCAAAGAGAACAGTGAAAAGAACAAATAAGACACCCATACAGTATTTTGCTATTTACAGAGCACTTTCTTAACCACTGGCTTATCTAATCCCTTCTATAATCTCTTATCTGATCCCTTATGATTAGAATTCCTTATTTGATGCATTTTATTGATGAGCTAACTAAGGCTCAGAGAGATTAAGCAACTTGTGTGCTAACTTCAATAACTTGCTTAATCTAAAAATCAAACCAAGTCTACTTCTATTCTGGTGAACTCTTCAATTTTAAAAATATATTAATAATAATAGCATGAATTGCTAATAATTACTGAAAGTTTGCTATGTGTCAGGCATGTTATTTAGAGCTCTGCCTGCCTTGCTTCATTTAATCCTCACAGCAAGCCAGTGAGGTGAGCCACCTTATTCTCTACATACTACATAATGCCTGAGAAAGTGGGGCCAGAGGATAGGTTAAGGACTTCTGAAGCAAAACGATAATTCAAATCCACACTCACTACTCACTACTGAGTCTTTGTTCCTAATCACTTAGTAATTATGAAAACAAAGCTTTTGCTTTCCAAATTAACATTTTTTTTCTAAATGAGAATACCTTGTGCAGAGGAGGGAGCAATCCAATAGGCTCTGTGAGTTGCTGGTAGGGAGATAAATTTGGACAGTACATTTTTATAGCTAAAGAAAATAGTTCTGAATGTGTAAAAGATTTGAAGCAACAAGATGATCGCTGAAACATTATTAATAATGATTCTATAATGTAAATAACACATAAAATTTAAATATATACCCTAGTGGTCTCCCTATAGCATTCTTTAAACTGTGGGATTCGATTTAGTTCTCTCTTTTATTCAGGTCAAAGGGCTTCTTTGCTAAAAACAATCATAATATAATTAGAAAGCATAAACCTGCAAAGCAAAGCTAACATGTTTCCTTTCCTTGTCGTAATCACACAGCAAAAATTTTAAATAGAATACGTAAAGTGACTCTAAGAGAAAATATTACTGCTTAGCAATTTTAAGAAAAGTGTCATTATTTTAAAGTTGTTATTGACACTGTAGCCCTAAAATCTATCTAATCGTACCATTGGATTTTTTTTTTTAAGTACAGGAGATAGCATCTAAGTCCTGAACATTTAGAAAACATATTCACAGGAAAAGTTAAAATTTTAGGCAAATTAAGGAGCAGCACATGAATAAGACTCTCAAACAATAACAGGATCTTTCAAACTCTCAATATGAATACATTAGAATATTCAGCCAACATAAAACAGACTTTATAAAAATGTGCTTACAACAGACAATAACCTCATTATGTTCTCCTCATAAAATCCAACACTATAATGTGAGAATAAATCATTCCTTCCATCCTTATGGTGTTATTTTTGTCTTGCCCAAACCTGGGAACTTATATGAAAGTACATTTTCTAAAGGAACATAAGAATTGATATATAAAAGCATTTCCTTTTAAAAAGCCATGCAAATAATAATTCCAACCAAATTCTCTTTCCTCTCATAAAAGGTTTTGTTTGGGATTTGTTTTTGTTTTCTTTCATAGCTTCTTCTTAAAAAGCACTACCATTAAAGGCAAGGTCGACTTTGCTTACCACAAGTTACAAATGACTGAATTGGTAACCCAATATCTGAGAAGTCATTTGCTGTTATAAATCTATTATCAGTGCTTCAGAAGAGTAAGAGGATAATGCCTTATTAGGACTTGGCCACAACAGGGTAGAGTTTCAAACTTCTTGAACTCTGTATATGCACAGGGGAAAAATGTGATGGTGTTGTAGCCTATAAATACATTGTCAGCTCTAGCAAGCAATGAGACATCTCACTCCAGAAAGTCAAAGCTGCAATGTGTCACTTTCAGACTTCTCTCACTGGTCCCAAGAAAATAGGTATAGATTTCAAATACAGTTATTTAAAGTAGATTCTGGTATACAGACACCCACGTCCTCCAAAGTTAAATTTTCCAGTTAAACTGTCTCCAGTCAATCTGACCACTTCAACCTGACAGGCAAGCCAGTCAAATAAGCAGTCAGTGGGCCAAAATCTGTCAAAATGGTTTTCTTAACTGGTAATTACTTTTTGACTGACTTGAGCAGTCAAGTTCATCAGAACAGTCAAACCAGGTTTCCAATGTATACAGTTTTAGCTCTTCCTGTTTTAGTAGGTGTGCTCTGTTTATATATTTGAAGGGAGCTTTATTAAGTCATATTGTTTAAGAGAAACAAGTCAAGAAAGTTGTGAGCAACTAGTTTGACAATAAGGGCTCCCCCCAGAGTTGGTCCTCAGATTCAGCACTGGGGAGAACAGGCTTATCGGCCCTGCCTGAGAGCTATGAAAGGCACAAGGGGAAGGGGTGGCCAGGAGAAAAGCACTGTGGAAGTACCCGCGTGCCCACCTCTTGACATGTCCTGGTTAGAGGTCTGAGACATGTGTCCTCTAACAAGGGAGAGATAAGGGAATGGGCTCACCATATTTTTGGAGATTTATAAAAAGACACTTAGAACTCAGTGGAGGGTTTGATGACATTGATGCCATTGTTGGCAGCGGTTTTCCATTCTTAAACAGCCATTTTTGTCAAGAGAAAGAGAAATTTTAAGAATCCCCTTAATTTAAAAATGAGGGTGAGGGCAATGTAATTTCTCAGCTTTCACAAATGACAACCTTGAAATGCAGTCTAATGCATGTTAAAAAGCATTGTTTGAGCAGCATTTAAGATTGCAGATTTTGGAATTAGCCCACCTAGTTTCAAACCTGGGCTCCCACTGACAAGCTATATGCCTTGGAGCCACATATTTCCTTCCTTGGATGTCAAGTAGCCTTATCTTTATAATGAATAAAATTAAACAACTCAATTCTCAGAGTTATTTTGATTACTAAGTGATTAAATGTTAGTAAAATATTTTCAACAGGGCAGGGTAAGGAACACTAGCTATGTAGAGGCATGGCCCAGTTCAAGTTCACCATAACTATGAGAGCATCTTGTTCAAATATAGTATTTTGTAATGTATTCGACTTCTTTTTTACAGGTCTCTTATGTTTAAGTTTTGCTTTAATTAATAGTTTTATCTTTAATATCTTCATAATTTATTTAAAAGCAGCACTAAAAAGCATAAAGGCTAAAGTTGCCAGGTTACCATTCTATACAGGCATTGAACTATACGTTTTACCCTCCCTTTCTCATTTAATAACCATGAAACCCCGTGAGGTAGATCAGGTTTACAAATGAAGATACTGAGTTTCAATCAAATTATATGACCTGTCTGTGATCAAACAGCTGATTATGGCAGAGCTGGTTTTAAAATTAAAATGTAACCAGCTTGCTTTAAAATCTATTAAGAGCCCGTAATATAACAAATAGCTAATTAACAATAACAAATTTCTGGTTCTTCCAGCAAAAAAAAAAAAAAGAGTGGTTTATATTGTAAGTTCATGACTTCCTAAAGAGAGACACTTGTCTATTAGGCCTCTGAAGTTATTGTAAGTAAATCAAAAGAACTAGAATGATTCAATACTTATCTATCACATCCAGAAACCAATCTTATTTCCACTTTCTGCAGTGCCACTTTGGATTTCAAAACAATAAAACAAAATATCTGAAAGATAAGACTCATGTATTCCAAAGTACTTAGAGGTATACAAGAATTCAAAGACTGATTAATTCAGCAAATAAAGATAGAATGTCTTGTTACTTGAAAATGGTCCAAGCACCAGTTAGTATCCTGAAAACTGAGAAACTATTGTGATATCAAACTGATTTCATAGTGTTTTCTTCGGTGATTTTTTGGTCATTGATAGAGATAGAACTCTTTTACAATATTGTGCAAAAAAACTAAAGACTCTGAAGGAGCATGAATGAATTGAACCTCTGGAAAGAACTTAGGCTTCCCGCTAAAACTCACCCTCAGAGGGTGTAATCTAACATACAGCATGAACATCTCAAGAGACTTGCCCTAGGTCAGTTCATCTCTCTGTGATGCCATATCCTCTAGATGGAAATAAAAACAGTGAACTCTTTTAAATGTGCCCTATGGTCTGATTAAAGATTGAAAAGGGCTCTAAAAATCCACAGCACTCCCAGGGAAAAATGCTAAATATCATTATCATTATTACACCAAATGCCATAATTTGGTCTCCTCAGATTCCCTTTTTATGTAGATTCCATCACACTCTGACTTTTGACTTTTCGCCTCTCTGACCAAATCTCCAATGACAAAGCAAAGGGAAATATTGAGGCAATTAGTGGGAAATGGAAGCAATTAATTCCCTTTTTTAGTGGAGACCTGGCCTCTGTGAACCAGTTTAACCAAAAATAATCAATGACCTTTCTCTGACCAAACTGAAGCAAATCTACTTGATATTTGTCACTGGTTATCCATCTACTGCTTCGACATTAATGAGTCCCTTCACTTTGCCCCTTTCTTTTATGAAATAGAGCCATCTTTTCTGGTCCCATGTTACCTCTACAACTACTATTTTTGCAAATCTAATACAGTCAAAGGCCTCATTATCCATGTGTAAGCCTAGAAACCATTTTTAGCAAAACCGTGATTTCTGATTTTCTTCTACCCTTCTCCCTTGAACTGTTTCCCTTTCTCTCCTATGGAGAGGCGAGGTTGTTCAAAATGAATGAAAGAGAACAACAAAGACAAAGTTTAAATTTAAAAGGGTCCTAGAAAAGACTGTATAATCCATCTGGGCCTAAACAGCATCCAGACCTAGATCTAAGTCTTTGGCCAATCATTGCTCACTGTTCAGCTTTCACCTTGGGAAATTTACCTATCCTTCACAAATCTCAGTTTTCTTTTCTGAACACTGGAGACAACATTACTTGCCCCAAGAGTCTTGTCAGACAAAAATTAGATGATACATGTAAAGCCGTTAGTACATAAGGAGAGCCCAATCAATGTTTCCTATTACCACCTGTTTCAAAGAAGAGGAGAATATTTCATAAAATATACTGTTTTGATACTCAATACAACTCTTCTAAAATGACTGCTACTCAAGCAAGAATATTCAGCATTCAGGGTCTCACTTTTATCCCCCTGTTAAGAAGAGTACTTCATGTTTTAGCTTATCCATTTATTTTATACATTATTTCCATCTCCTATCATATTCCAGAATATCTTTGCTTGCTATTTTGTTTTAGCTTATCCATTTATTTTATACATTTTTTCCATCTCCTATCATATTCCAGAATATCTTTGCTTGCTCTTTTGTTGTTGTTGTTGTTGCTGCTATGGTTTTGTTTGTTTCATCTTTAGACAAACACCCCTTAAGCAACTGTTCATCAGCTGTCATATATCTCACTAAGTGTGGTCCATTAGGCCTGAATCCAAGTGAATTTAGAGACAGCTCGGTATAACCAGTGTTTCATATAAAAACAAATGGAGATGCAAATGAATTGGCAATACATTTTGAGAAAATATGGAACACTAGAGATGTCCTGTGAAGAAAAGGCAAATTAACAGTTACTTCTCAAATTATGCAAGGAGCTGCTTTTTCCTCTATTTCATTTTGTTCTAAAAAGCTCTGTCCTAAGGCAGGCTTCCCTGAGGCTGTTTGAATAGGAGAGAATATTAAGGAAAACAAGACCAGATGTATGAGACATTGGCCCATTGTTATGTTCTGTACTCTGAAAATCTTTCAGAAATGTGGGATGAAGGGCCTCAAAGGAAAAAGGAGAGAGGTCCTTCCTTTGCACTCTGAACTAGATTTCCAATCTTAGAGCTCCTAAATCCAACCCAAGTTTGATTTCTCAGGAGCAAATTCAGAGCTGCTCTTCAGGTACAAGAGACCTAGATTTAAGCACCACCAGACACTTCAACCTTCACCCTCAGGCCCAGCCCCAGCCTTTCACTCTCCACACTAGATATTAATTCAATGTGAAATCTTCAGGAAATACACACACACAGACAGACAGACTTACTCATAGTCACATGTCAAGTTGGTAGCAAGCTAAAAATGCTGAACTTCTGACTTCCCATTTCACAGTGTGTTCTATCAAACCAAGCAACCATAAAGAAATCACTGGATCACTTGTAAATATTTGCTCAGTCCACTGGTTTGCTAATCCATGTTCAGTTTAAGAGAGAATTGCTGCAGTAAAAAATGTAGTAGTACATCACCTTCAATTTTCTCATGAAGTACATTCTACCATCTTTTCAGCCTCTCTCTTCTTGCCAAAGGTACAACTATTTTGAAGGTATTACCCATAGTCACCACATACAGTCATTTTTGCTCTCTTAAATCGGATACAGAAACACTCTATCAACAAAAATTTAAAACTAATAACTCCAGTCTTTCACCCTCTAATGTGTCTTCCAAATGGCCAGAGCTGGAGAACATAAAACTAAACATAATCAAAATATGCTAAAACATAATCAAATCAAGCTCCTTCTCTGGGTAAACCCAACAACTCTTAAAAGCATAGCTGTTCATGGTCTGCCCCCACCTTAACTCTTCAGCCCCACTTCATGTTATTTCACACAATGGTTCCACTTCTAATCAAAGACCCCTGAATATGCCATGCTTTTCACAACTCTGCACATGCTAGTCTTTCGATCCACTGGACCTTTTGGCCCAATGCCTTCGCCTGCCTAAAGAATAGCTAATTCATTTTAAAGATATGCTTCACCCATCTTCTCTTTGAACCCTTTCCAGATTGGCAGATAATTCATATATACTTTCATTGTAACATTTGTCTCTGTAATTAATTGTTGAAATGCCTGAACTGCTCACTGGCAGGTAGCATACCTTATCCATCTTAGCATCCTCAGAACCTAGTACCGCACCAGGTACACTCCTCCTCTACTTGTACACCTCCATCTTAACTAACCTTACATAGATATTAATTAAATTACTGAACGAGGTAAAATCACATATTCTCTTCCTTCTCCAGAAAATGGTGTCATCAGTCATGTCACTGGGCAGATTCATCCACTGGCTTATTCCTACTGTAAGAGTGGATATGCTCAGAGCTTTTCAAACACTATTAGAAGGGTTAATAGAGAAAAATGGTTGTTTGCAACAAAAGCAATAGATGTTTTAACATTTGAAAGCAATGACAAAGTAAAGAAGGTTGAATATGTCTACAGAAAAATCTTTAACAGTAGGTGCAATTCTGATGAAAAGAGCAGATCATCCATCACATAAAAATTGCCTTGCACATGTGAAGGACAATCATAAGCTGTAGAAGAGGAAAAGTGATTGGCTAAGTGGGGAGAAACACTAGAGAGTATTACTAAAATATCAGATGCCTCTTAGCCAAATGTTAATTAAGAAGAAGCCTAGAATTTTACCAGAATTTAAAGGCTGGGGGTGAAAATGTTGCTGACAAACTTTCTATTGCAGACCTCAGATAGTTCAGTAGGTTCAAATCCATTTGAGTCTACACAGGGTCAAAGGGAACAGAGTGTTAACATATTAGCCCCTGAGAAGTTCTCTGCAGACATTGGCAGGGATAAATACCTGTCTATAGACAGATTGTCAATAATACGGTAGGTACTGGTCTAGATTTTGGGAGCGTGAGGAAAGATGCCGCATAGAATGAGTGCTGCAAGTGGAAAACAAGATATAGCCAAATATTTGATTGAACAGATAGGAAGTCTAGGCTTGGCAGGGTGTGGTTGCTCATGCCTGTAATCCCAGCATTTTGAGAGGCTGAGGCAACCACTTGAGTCCAGGGGTTTGAGACCAGCCTGGGCAACATGGCGAGACCCCCCATCTCTACAAAAAAATACAAAAAAATAAAAAGAAATTAGCTGGATATTATGGTGCATGCCTGTAGTACCAGCTACTCTGGGGGGTTGAGGCGGGAGGCTCTTTTGAGCCCGGGAGGTCGAGGCTGCAGTGGGTCCTGATCAAGCCACTACACTGAAGCCTGGGTGACAGAGTGAGACCCTGTCTCAAAAAAATTTTTTAAATGTGCAGGCTCACATTCTTACTTGGGTGGAAATACATCTAAGGAAGCTGAGCATTGGAAACATGTTTGTGCAAGAAAGAATAAAGAAGGGAATAAAGGGAGGTATAAAAGAAGTCTCTGGCTCAGTGGCAAACTGAGAAAGCATGTTTCAAGAAGAGAGACAATTTGAAAATACTCTTCCATGGTAACTCTTAGGAATGAACATTAGGAGGCATGAGAATCCTTATTAAAACTCCACCTCTACGTCCTAGACTCTCCTTTCAATTCCTTTTTTTAGATCGATTTTCAAATTCTCACCTATTCTTTCAAACCTGAAAAGAGAAAAGAGAAACAGAAACCTAACGGGTCTTTAAGATCATTAGGCTCAACTTCCCTCTATTTCCTGAGAGCAACTGAAAAACTGGGAACAAGGGCTTTCTCGCCTTGACCAATTCATTCTTAAACCTGGTCACCTGAGGAGATTCTACATCTCTATCTTACTATTTCACTTTTTCAATTATACGAATTCTCCCAATTCTCCTAACATTTAACATAAACTACCTCTAATATTCTCCTGTTCTTCTTTATTTATTGGTGTGTAAATGGCCAAGACTTTTTATGCTCCAATAAATACAATTTAATGGAATCACAAAACCATCTATCATCAGCTAAGCTCTCATAGGCAAAGTATTGTCCACCAAATTTTTATAAATCTCCAAACACCCACAACACAATTCTACAGATTTCTCTAATTAGCTGGCATTCACAATTCTATATAATAAGGAATATTTGCGTAAATTAGTTTCTTGCTGTTTTTCTTTTCCTACAAGACTACTGTTAACCTCTCTCTTCGTAGGTTATGACTTTGGGGATGATTGTCATTCCTACTGCTCTATGCCTCCCAGACTCTTCTTAGTAAACACCCCCAGTAAAATCTGTGCAGGAACCATGCTTTGCACTATGCATGTGTTTTATTTTGTTGACAAATAGTTCAAAATAGCAACCTATTTGTAAACACCACCTTTCTGGATCTGCTATCACTCCATATCATAATCCAGTATTTTTTACTGTAAGAGCTTTCATCTCCATGAAGAATCTGGAATGTCTAATTGACATCTGATAGCTTTATTTGTAAAACGATTTATAAAAGATTAAGTGATTGCTTTTCCACTATTATGGAAAATATCAACAGCCATAATGATTCCATTTGAGTTATATTTCACTAGTTTATCTAAAACCATTGTGTAAGAATATTTTGTTTCTTTCAGTTTCTTCTTTCCTTATTTCTCCTTTCTGACTATTCAAACCACTGTTTTCAAAACTATTTTTACTTCCACTATATAAGTTAGTAGTATTTCTGAAAATTTCACTATGCTACAAATTTGTACCTTATTTAAATGTCTTGTAATTATTTTGGGCTATCTAGAACTTACAACAAACCTTATGCCGCAGTCGTTAAAATTAAACTGACTTTTAAGAAACATTTTTCAGCTTGTTTCATTTTTGACATGAGCTCCAAGTTTCAGTTCAACAAAATGTACTACATTGAACTATTCTACTGTTTTGGAATAAAATTGAAAACTTAAAAAAAAAGTAATAATAACCCAAACCAAGGAAATAGACATGAAAATTATATGTATTCCATTTGTTTTAGAGCTAAAAAAAAAAGTTTAAAAAAACTTCTTAAAAGGAGATCTTAAAGTTTAGCCTACTTAAAGTAGCTTCCATCCAAAAGTAAAATATTTAACATAAATTTAAAAGATACTTGCAAGTGCACTGCTACACTCAGATTCATCTAAAATAGAAGTGAAGCAGAATTGTCCGAATAATGCTGATAATAAACTGCGTACCATTTCACTTTGCTGTGCTGACACACTTTCTGAATACGAAAGAATCATGAAGGTTATTTTACACTCTTATAGTTAAATGAAGTTTCTTATAAACTATCCAAAATGAATTTGAAATTACCTCAGGTTTCTCCTTCCCTTAAAATGCATATTCCCAGTGAAATATTCTAAGACAATATTGAAAGTATGGAGTTATAACTTATATAAATATATATGAAATTATATCTATTGTAATTTATATAAGCAAATGTATATATACAGCATATATATATGTATGTACATGTGTATAAATATCTTCATATGTATCTTAATCTTAAAGTTTCTACTACAACTCTTTTGATTATTACAATTGAAAACTATTACTTTAAAAAAGTAATTGCTGGGAGGCCAAGGCAGGCAGATCATGAGGTCAGGAGTTCAAGACAAGCCTGGCCAACATGGTGAAACTGCGTCTCTACTAAAGATACAAAAAAAAAAAATTAGCCAGGTGTGGTGGCGCATGCCTGTAATCCCAGCTACTTGGAAGGCTGAGGCAGGAGAATCACTTCAACCCGGGAGGCAGACGTTGCAGTGAGCAGAGATCACGCCATTGCACTCCAGCCTGGGTGACAGGGTGAGACTCCATCTCAAAAAAAGGTTGTTGCATTGGGATACTTGACATCTTCTACACAAGCTATTTAGATCCACATCTACATAAAAATAGGAATTAATTTTTAGTCCTGGAATAAGAATATATGCTAATATACTATCTGGTACTATTTTGCTATAAATAGAGCTCATATTTTCTTACCTTTAAAGCCAATAAAATAGATATTGCTCAAATGTAAACAAAAATTAATATTTACTCATAAAATAACATATATAAGAGGCAACAAAATGTTAAATCATGTTCCAATTTAGTAAATATCTGAAAATATTAAACTTGAAAAATAAATAACTTTGGTTACCATGAACTAAAACAGTGATTTCCACATCTTGGTTGAAATAAGACATTAATAGAGTTTCAGACATATTTTCCCCAAATAATAGCAAATCACAACTTGACTACTCAGATATCCTGATACCTAGTTATCATAAAAGATGAAATTATAATTATAAGCAAGCCACACATATCAAAATAAAACAAGTATTGATTAGTTTGTCTTCCTAGTTTGTTTAAAGTACAGAAAATTAACCTGCCGGTTTAGTTACCTACCAGCAATGAGTGGATTTTATCAGTGTTGTCATCTCTACAAACAGCACCAAATTATAATCCCTCTTCCCATAACATATGCACCATGCCAGAAGGGACAACCAAAGTAAACGATCTAGCCGTGAGTAATGAATACTTTGGGCTGGTTGGAATCCAGTTAGTTGAGGAAAGAGAAAAGAGAAGTGGCTCATTAGGGCATTTCCTGAACCCTGGTTGGAATTTCAGTTAAGGAAGAAGAAATGACACAGCAGTTTCAAGTTAAGACGACTTCCTTTCTTTATCTGAAATATGCCACTAATTTGAGAAAGAGCACTCCTAGAAAACTACTCCACAATACTGTGGCCACAGTAAAAGCTCTTGTTGGTCCCATTGTGGCTCCATAATTAACAATTCTTACCAGAATATACACAAGCAGTACATGGTTGTTATCATAATGGACTGAGATCCTACATTTATTGCAACATGTTATGTTTCACAATGAACATTTCTTCAACAAATTGACCTGCATCATTTTTTTTTCAATTTTAGGAATTGCACATTTCTTTAGAGCATTAATAGATTTTGAGTTTTTAAGGCCATTGCATTTTCCATATTTTCTATAATTACATTTTTCTTACATATGATTTTACTCCTAAAGTGACCCCAGGATAATTTTTATCTTGTCCAAGAATATTTTATCTTCCCATGTAGATTAAAAATACACAGTTCAGCTTATGAGATTTCTTTGTCTTATAATTATTATTTACATCCCAATTTCATTTGTATTTTTAAGGGACATGAATATAGGATACTCATGCCTTTACCAATGTGATAAAAGAGGTCTCATTTCATGTGTTAGGTATCTCAGGAACTTAAAATGGAAAGGTACAACTTTGTTCCCACCCTGTAATTCACACTGTGAAAATCTGAATTCATTCTTGTAACAGTTACATGACTTTCTTGTCTTACCTATATTTTAAAAAATATATGCAAAGCAAGGCATTTATGCAAGCTACTGAAGTTTAATGTGAAGGTTACATTCAGATTTCTCTTGCCTTTGTGATCTAAAAATTGTGCAATTAAATTGACATTTGTGTTTGTCAAGAAGTGGAGATTATATGAAAATATTTCAGCACTATATCTTCTGTAAGAACTTCAAAGCTATTAAGTAAAAAAATTGTTCTGTCACTATCAATAGCACATTTTTGAGTCACCTTACCTTTTCTGGTTGTTTTATCATACATCTAAATCTCCTAAGGTGAATGGAAATAGTAAATAATTAAGTGTAAAATCAATTTATTTAGGTTAGTATTAGAAATAAACAACATTGATATTAGAAACATTGTGAGAAAAGAAAATATTTGGGATTTTAACTCATTAGAAAATACTTTAGATTGAATTAGAGTTTAATACATTTGTATGATACAACATGTTTAACATATTTAATGTATTTGTATGAAATACATTTGCGAGCTTCAGAAGGTAAATTTTAAAGCTGTATTACTATGTGGGCTTCAAAAGTTGGAAACATGCACATAGATACATATTCACACCTGAAAGAATAAGCATCTATTTGTTAATATCAGTTATTTCTTAATGGTGGCATAATCGGGTAGTTACTTTTTTTACATTTTTATCTATTGCTTCTATATTTTATATAAAGTGTGGCAATTCCTCTATCTAAAACCAGAAATACCATTCAACCTGGCAATCCCATTACTAGGTATATGCCCAAAGGAATATAAATCAATCTATTATAAAGACACATGCACACGTATGTTCACTGCAGCACTATTCACGGAGGAAAGACATGGAATCAACCTAAATGCCCATCAATGGTAGACTGGATAAAGAAAATGTGGTACATATACATCACAGAATACTATACAGTCATAAAAAAGAATGAGATCATGTCCTTTGCAGGAACATGGATGGAGCTGGAGGCCATTATCCTTAGGAAATTAATGCAGGAACAGAAAACCAAATATTGCATCTTCTCTCTTATAAGTGGGAGCTAAATGATGAGAACACAAGGACACATAGAGGGGAACAACACACACTGGGGCCTATCAGAGGGTGGAAGGCTGGAGGAGTGAGAGGATCAGGAAAAATAATTAATGGGCACTAGGCTTAATATCTGGGTGACAAAATAATCTGTACAGCAAACCCCCATGACACAAGTTTACCTATGTAACAAACCTGCACATGTATCACTGAACTTAAAATAATAGTTAAAAATTTTTAAAAATCATGCATGTCGTTTCTAATAAAATATAGTTTTCATTTCAAAAATAGTTTATAAACCAAACTTTTAGTATAGTATACTACTTGCCACAAAATAATTTTACCACAAATTATCTGCTCCCTTATGACAAGAATGAGGGAGATCTTATAAATAACTGATATAATTTAAATCTTACCTTCTGTCTTTACCTGATTGATGTTTACAGACTCCCTGCAAGATGCATTTCAGTTAATTAATCACGTGACAAAGAAAAGGGCAAGACATCTTCTCATGATTCATCAAAAAAAAAAAAAATCTTTGTTTCTGAGGATGTATCCTCACTCCTCGCATTTAAATGGTCAAGTTCTGGCCATTCTATGCCTGAAATTCTTCTCACAAAGAAGAAATGTGTCAAAGTGCTTGGCTGCAGGAATTTGGTTAAGAGTCAGACTGATTTGGTCTCAACTCCCAGCTCTACCTCTTTCTAGCTATGGCACCTTGGTTAAAATACTTCACTTCTCTTTGCCTCAGTCTCCTCAACTGTAAAACAGAGAAACTAATAGTACCTAGAGCAGGGCTAGTATGAGGATTAAATAAATAATAGAAGTAAATTGTTTAAATAATGCCAGGCATGTAATAAATGCCATGTGAGTTTTACCCATTTTCTTCCTTTTTTCAGTTGCCTCTGTCAATTTCTTTATTCCTGCCATTCTCCATCCTCCATGTCTATCCACTCCCTGTACCAGTACCCAAATACTCCCATTTGTTATCATAGATGAATTATATGTCATCTTATGCAGAGAATAGCTCTCTCCATTTATACCAGATCCCATCCCTCCCACTACCCAAGACCACCACCTAGCAATGCCCTCCTCTCACCTGTAATCTACAGTGCCAAACATTGACTCAACCAGATCATTCCTTTTAGAATACAAGCAAGTGTTCTTTCTCCCACCTAAAGGAAAACAAATAATCTTCTCTGAACCCTACTTCTCCCACCAGATGTTACTCCATTTCTTTGTGCCCTTTTTGAAAAACTCAAAAGAGCTATCAATACTCACTGTCTTCAATTCCTCTTTTCCCATTCTTTCTTAAGCTCCTTCCAGTAAGGCTTTGTGCTCCACCAGAGCACCATAACTGACCTTGTCAGGACTAGCAATGACCTCTGTCTTGCCAATCAAATGGTCAGTTCTCACTTCCAACTTACTTTCCCTATCAGCAGTGAATGCGTGATCATTCTCTTTGCCTTTAATGCCCTTTTTATGGGTTTTCAGGACACTACAGACTCAAATTTTCACCTATATCACTGAGTATTTCTTCTCAGTCTCCTTTGCTGTTTCCTCTCTTCTCTATAGTGAAATGTCCTAAGTCTCAGCCTGTTCTTTCCCCTACCCTAGCTATATTCATTACCTTGGCTATATCATGTACTTTCATGACTTTATATCATCTATATGCTAATGACTCTCATGGTCATACTTCCAGGCCTGATATCTCTCTTGAATTCCATACTCATATATCCAACAACCTACTCTATGTTTGCATTTTCCTGTGTTACAGACAACCAAAATCTTCTCTTCCAACCATGCACCACTTGCAGCCTTCCCCAACTAGATTAACACCATCTTCATCCCTCCAGCTCACTCCTCTCTTTCTCTATACCCTTCAACGTGTCCATCAGTAACTCCTGTGAGCTCACCTTCAAACCCACCTGGAATTTATCTGCCTCATCCAACTTCCATTGCTATTATCTGAGTCAAAGCTAACCTCATCTCTCACCTGGATTGCCGCAAAGACCTTACACCTGCTCTCCCTCCTTCTATCTGTTACACACACACTAACACGCACAGGCATGCATACACACACACACACACACACACACACAGCAACCAGAGTGGTTCTCTTAAAACTCAAAGCTGATCATGTAGCTTTTCTATTCAAAACTTTGTCAAAGCATTCCTCATACTCAGAGGAAGAACTTAAGTCATTCCAATTCCTTAAAATGGTGTCTAAGGTCCTAGGCCTACACACCTCCTTTAACTCTTTGTGGAATATCAACTTCTGAATGAAGTTTTTCCTGACTTGTCTGAAATTCCACCATTCTCTTGTCTCCCCCATCTTCCCCCACTGAAACTGTTTATTCTCCTTACCCTACTCTGCTTGTCCTTTTTTCCATAGACCCCATGACCTACCAGGTTTTCTGTTTAATTTCAATCATTCATTGGAAAGACAGCTTCACGAAGACCAGGATCCCCATCTCCTTGCTGATGGACATATCCTAAGCACTAATCACTAAATGATTAAATGTGTGATTTTTCTAAATTTTATTCCCTTTATTTATAATCATAAAAAAATTCCCTACTGCCTAAATTTTGACTCCAAATTCTCTAGGATCACTCATAAATGTCTTCTCAACTAAATCTGAGTCTGAATCTCAAGCTTTACCATAATACATTCTCACTTTCTTTAGGTTACAATGTCCCCCTGCAGGACGCTCCTCTCTTCAAAGTCCAGATCATACGTGACCTCCTGTCTGTACTTTCCTTGAAAGATACAGAATTAAGGGCTCTTGTGTGTATGTGTATGAACTGAGGACACTTTACACATATTTCTTTTATAAGCATTAATGTTAACATTTTTATTCTCTTCAAATGTTGCAAAGTCAATATAATATCCACCAAAATTATAGTTTTATTCCATTGGGTACATTTGTTAATATTTACCAAGAAGAATAAATGAAAAAGCATAGCCAAAATATTTTGAAAATTAAAAAAGTAAAGAAGGATTTGAAAAATGAAATATTAAACACACGATAAGACTATGCTAATTAAAACAGCTTACTACTAATATATAATAGACAGAAAGTGAAAACCTTCTGCATTTTTAGAAATTTAGCACATTGTTGAAGGTTGTATTTCACATCAGAATGAAATAAATATATTTCTTAATAAACACTTTTAGGACAAATATCTAATAATTTGTTGAGAGAGAGAGAGAAAGAGAATGGAAAAGAGAAAGATCCGTACCTCTGATTACCAAGAATTTAATTTCAAATACCTTAAAGATTTAAACATAAAAATTTTTAAATGTGGCTCAGAAAAATATGTGACTACTTTGTAATCCACACAGTGGAGAAAAAAAATCACTAAATACAAATTTTGGCCACATAAATATTAAATCTCTAAGAAAATAATTATTTTTAAATTTCACAAAACCAAAACTGGGAAAATATTTTTCCATATGTTAAAAACATATAATATATAGATAATTGTTATACTGTATTGTCGATTATTTTGCCTCATTTGTCTTCTATCCTGAAAATGTGCTTATTTTGGAATTGGACCATAACATTTTCTTCTTTGTGTTATAGTTCTGTCTTAGTTTTATCACACTGAAAATTGTGTAAAATGCATGCCTCAGATGTTTCCCAGGCAGAGAGGAAAAGAGCTAGGGTATTTACACTCTCCAGTACTTGTCAGTCACTGGTTTCAGGCTGCCTTCACGAACACATTAATTTCCAGGCACATGCTTCCCAAGTTGCAAATGGGCAAAGTAGTTCATATCATGCAGAAAGCAGCTCTCTGACAAAACTTAAAAGTGCTAGCTTTCTGAAACAAGCTGTCATTCACTGAAATGATATAGGGGATATGACAATATAGACCAAATACCATCAGCATGTGAATTGGTCTTGTCACATAGTAGAGAGTATATATTAAACACTATGCCTTAATGTTCTTTACATTAGTGTTCCCATCAAAACTAATGCTGTAATTATTTATTCATTAATTAATAAGCTTCCATTAAATACCTGCCATCTGTCAGGCAGTAGGTATACAAAGCTAAACACTCCTAGCCTTTACCCTCAAGGAGTTTAAAATCTAATCAATTTTTAAAGATAAATTACCCATGGTTTAAATTAATCCATAATAAAAAAAGTAATTTAATGGGATAATATATAAAGTAGAAAACAAAAACTGGTATCAGGAATAAAAGAATTGTTTTCCTTATATCTGACTTTTGGCCAGGCCCAGGATGTTGGAATGAGAAATACCATGAAAGTAGAGGTTGTCTTGGTTTCCAAAGTCAAACATAAGTTGGCCACTAAGGCAACAGTTGATAATAGATAACATTTAAGTTTAAAATATTAGCAAATAATGCAGAAACAAATGTTATTTGCCAAATGGCAGCTAACGCACTTTTGGAAATGGACTCAGAAAGTCGTTCTGCAAGTAAATAAATAGTAGAGGAGAAGATCTCATATTAGTCCTTCAAAAAAGAAAGAATAATTTATTGTTACATTAGATTGCTTTTACAGAAGTCTCAAAAATAAAAGGCTACTGGTACAAATCTTTTTAACGGCAATTGATTTTGTGCACGGGATGTTGAGGGTCTTTATGCCTACAACAATGTCTTTTCTGTTAGCAACAAGTGGGCCAGTTAAAGGCAATCATTATTTATGAAAACTTCTAATCTGTTAAATCTGAAGAAACTTAGCTTCCCTCCTAAAAATCTAAGGCAAAGGAAAATATCTATGTCTCCTAAGAAATTTAGAAATAAAGTCCAAAATCAGTATCATATAGAAAACGAAATCAGACATGGGTGCATAGAACTGGATTTTTTATGCTACTCATTGATCAGAATTGTACCTTTAGAGTTGTTAATATTATAATTGAGTCTCTTGGCAAATAATTGGCATTAATTATTCAAAAGTCAGATTTTATTACCAGTTTGAGAAATGCGGAAGAAATTAGGAAGTGAAAGTTTCCTACTTTTATGCAATAATACCAGATTTTGCCTGTATAACACTTTAAGACAAACATTAAATGTCAAATTTGGCCTTGGCTTCCAATAGCATTTAATAACTACAAATTATCTAAAATATAGGAGTTCATCCCTCTAAAAGACTAAAATTGAAACTTACCAAGATTTTTACTATTTCATTAGCATACTAGTAAGCATAATATTAGTAAACTTTTGAAATATCTTTAAAACTGCATGAGGTTTTACTCTACCAAAGTTATTATGTCCTTAACAAGAAGCATGTCAGGCAAAAGTGTGGAGGAACACATTTAAAATGTGCATATCACTATACAATTGCAAAAGCAGTACTTTTTCACTGCTAAAACGCATTTCATCTATCTCGATGAGCTTCAGAAACATCAACTCATCAATATCTCACCAGTCAGCAGAAGTACATCTACTTATCATTGCTCTTTGAGAAATGGGTAAAATCAATCAAAAGAATCATATGACTTTCCCAAGTTTTCTGTCCCCTGCAAATCAGTTTATAAGAACAAGGAGTTTCTAGAAACCTTTAAGGCATTAATGTAATTTAATTCTTCTATAATACCAAGGACTAAAATTTCTCTAGAGCTTATATTTAATCTTGGCATACACTAGAGTATTAAACAAAGAACCAGTCCATCTAAAAATTTTGAAGTAGGCAAAACTTGTCTTTAACATGCAATCTCTGTGTCCTTTTCCCTTTTGCCAGACAGGTGCCATGATCCCTTATCATTTCCCCATTTTTGCCACTACCTAAAACTATTTTTAGAAAACATTCTAATTCATTACATACCTTACTCACTAAGGCATAAACGACTGATAAGACTTAAAATATTCTCCTTCCCAAAGGCATTTGCATTTGGAAGATAATGTATCCTGAAGGTAAAGAAGGAAAGATGTATTTAAAATTGGGAAAGGAAGATTATGTATGAAATTTCAAAAATCAAAAATATTTCATGGAGGCTACCATCTCATGTTAGCATGCTATATTCAAACTAGAGAGCATAAAAGAGATGAAAGTAAAGCTTCTTCCTTTGTAATGTTAGAATGTTCCCAATGAGATGGCATGTCTCATGATTGACATTGTAGCTTCCTAGAGATTAGAGAAATTACAAGTCTTCTAGAGCCTGCCAAAGTTGTACCATTCCTCTCTATCAGGGTAGGATAGGATATGCTGGTGTAACAAACAACTCCATATAAACATATAGTGTTAAAAACAAAATGTTACTTCATTCTCTACGTGTCCAAAGTAGATTAGTGGGGAAGTTATTTTCCTCATAGTTACTCAAGGACACAGGATAATGGAGGCTCCATCTCCAAATATGCTTTCAGCACTACTGAGAGACGAAACGGGATGTGGAAAACCATATACAGATTTTTAAAGGTCCTGCAGGAAGTGACATTCATCACTTCTATCCATCATTCATTGGCCAAAGCAGTCCATGGTTATGCCTCCTTCAAAGGAAATTAACCTGCAACCCAATTATATGCTAAGTGAGGACTAGAATATGTTATAGGACAAATGACTATGACATTCTGCTAAATATCTTTAACATATCAACTTTTCCCAGGAAATCACTGTTAATAAAAGTTAGTTTTTCTATAATGTCATATAAGAAATAAATTCAGTCCATCAAATAATAAGCTGTAAACTGTATCCTTAACCATTTTACTATAAGTACAAATAAGAAGAAGAGAAAAAAGAGAAAAATTATAGGAAGAAAGGAGGGAGTAGGCAGATAGTTGAAGATGATAATAACTTTGATAACCATGATTTGGGGATAAAAACTAAAACAAAAGAAAATTCTGTGTGTGTGTGTGTGTGTGTGTGTGTGTCTGTGTGTGTGTGTGTTCATCAGTATTATGATTCTTGTTCTCAAGATATATGCCAAAAGCACCTTCCAGAATCTATCTGCAAGGAGAAAAATGTCGTCTTTCAGAGGAACATCAAACTACGACAGAGACATTTCACAAATTTTCTACAAGCAAACAGAAAGTTTTCTCCAGGAAACTAATAACTATAACAGTACAATTATTATTAAAGAAATAAAACTTGGAAAGGGTAATAAAACCAGAGAGATAGAAAAAAAGAAATGAGTTAAAATATTTTTACATTTCCTATTTTGAGTTTTTTTATTCCTTTGGTGGTTAAAAAACGCCCTTTAATATAAAACTCCATTTTGAGTTATTTTATTCTTTTAGAGGTTAAAAAAAGTCCTTCAATACAAAAGAATCATCAATGCACACTTCTTGTTTGAATTTATAATTTTTGGTTGATATTTTTAACTGTGATGAAACTACAATCCAACAAAGCAAAATTAGATAAAAGAGGAGAACTGGGGTAAGTTTCCCTTGTTCCTCAAGTAAGACAGGATATACTTTGCAATAATCTAAAAAATCTAGATGTGACCTGGACAAAGAGAGAGAGACAAAGTATAAAATGCTTTCTTAGGGATAACTCATACTCTTGGTGACAAGAAATGTTAATGGTGTCCTGAAACCTTTTGGTCAGTGATTGCTCCATTATGTGGGAAAAACATAGGAAAATAAACATAGGAAAAACAAAGGAAAATAAAAGACTCATAGTACTTCAATAAAAGTTGTCACCAAATCCCAAGAAAATGATTGCATTGGAAGGAATATTCTTTTTGTTTTAATTGATAGTATTTTAGGAAGTAGCTAACACTTGTTCTTATTTCCTAGCTTAAAAAGTGAATATATGCACACACATATATAACTAGAAAGTGATATATTAACATTTTCTATTAACAAGTTTTTTATCTCATAAAAGATATTCTTTGGCTTTCGAAGAGAGAAGCCAAAATAAATATCACATAGGCATTTCAGATATCCCTTCCTTTAAATGTTTATAGTGATACATAAAATAGAAATTGCAAATATTTGATATTTTAATATTATTTTTGCTTTACAATAGCATTTTTAGTGCTCCATTTTAATTTATTTTATCTCTCCAGGTTAATAATCTATCATAATGTCCAAATTACACAGTATTGTATTGGTCAGCTTTAAGTGCCCAGATCAATGACACTGAACCTGGCAAATGCAATGCACATGCACAACGCCTAGCTTCTAACATCATGGCTGTTGAAACTGTCTCCTCTCCAAAGCATTTTCCCAGCCCCATCTCTGCCATTTGGGTCTCATCTGATAAGGTTTAACCATGAGTTGTTATACTCCATGCATGGCCTCTGCATTTGTGTGTATTGTGATTCTTACGTCAAATGGTAAAGAATAACATTAGATTATTCGCTTTTATTTTGACAGAGTTCAAATAGCAAAATAAATTAGATATACTGTCACAGCTTAAGAAATTTAAAATGAAATATGTTGTAGTCAGGTGGAAGTTTCTGCCGGGGAAATATTAACACCTAATTTCCCAGAATACTTATTTCATGCATTGCAAATATCTATCTCCTGTCATGACACTGAGATGAAAAGGATCGGTTAAAAGTTTGCTAACTGAACTATTTCCCACAGTGTAAATAACTAAGTGTTGGTATAGACTAGTATGGAAACATACTAATTACACTGGGTGTAAGCTATGTGAGTTGCCTTATCTTTTCACATAACATTTATATGTATTGCATTTCCCATATCGTTTCCTTTTGTTTTGCTGATAACAACTAATGAGGAAAAGAAAGGAAGCATTAAAAAAAAAGAAAAAAAAAGTCTTCCAACAAAACTGCTAGAGAGAGAAAGCCAACTATTATAAAATATAAGCACAATTCTATTGAAATATCAGCTCCAGATTCAAGTAATTTTGGGCATGTGTATTATGTGCCAGGAGATTTCACTTACATATGTTATGGAACGCAGTGATTTAAAAAACAAAACAAAAAACAGGTAATACACTTCAGAAATTTCAAGGTTAGAAAATTGGAAAAGTTAACCCCTTGAAAAATTTCAATTTGAAACAAGAGAAATCAAGAGCTGGTTATTAGCAGTGACCACACTGGTATATGTGAAAATCTGTGGCAAGTAATGGTGTGCTCAGAAGTAATTCTCTTCTCCTGTGTATAGATCTTGCTAATCACGTAGAAAACTCTACTTCATTGTCTGATTTCAACTGAAAGCAGGCAGAGATTGAAAAACCCAGAGATTTCACAGGTTTTATAATCCTTGTGATGCTCTTCCTGTTTCAGACACAGGTCTGAAACAAAGACAGCACATACCCACACGCACAGACGCATGCACACATGCAAACATTGTGGCTGTTGGTGACTCTAACCCTTCCAGGACAGAGCTGCATGATCAGCCAGTTCCCAAAACAAAGGGCGAGAGATGCATCTCTCACACAATATGCAAACCTACAATTGTTCACCTTCTGCTGACAATCTGATACAAAGCTACAAATCAAGCATTAGAAAAACACAAGTGTGACAGGGAAAAAACAGTGGTGGAAGTGGTGCCTAGTAACCTTAATTTTAAAGAAAAAAAAACAGGTGAATGTAGGTGACACAGTTAGATTTTAGACATCTATATAATCAATTCACAGAGTATAGATGGAAAAGTGAAAATGACATTTCTAGCACAATGAGATAAATGCAATCCCACAGTTACCACTGAGAGTCAGTAGAATGGCACTCTTTTCTAGAATAGAGCCATGGAAGAACATTCTTGTCTTTAGAATACATATAATACAGCATAAGCGTTAGAAGAATTGCATTGTATATGAAGAGAAAACAACTAAATGGGTTATGTAGGCTCAGGGCAACACACACTGTAGATAATTTTGACCAGATATTGACGAAAAGAGAAGTTATATGAGATAGGTAACATCCCATATCATGAGTATGTTCAGAGTTGTTGAGCTAATGTTATTTAATTCTGAATATTAAGTGTTTAGTTGAAAGTAGAACTTTGCAATTAAAATGGACAAATTTGAATTCACGATTAATTTGTTAATAGTTTATCCCTACAGGAATATTAAACTTAACCTTGGACATAATTAATAATCTGTAATGACTTTTTATTAACCATAATTGTGGCAAAATTATTTGGAAACTTGAACTAAACATTTTTTAAAAAATCTTCCATGCCTGAATCCAACAGTATGCAGGACTGATTCAGGAGTCAGGCAGGGATGATCGGGAAAATGAATCAGAATAAGTCAATATCTAGGTCAATATGACTCTTCTCCCTCTAAATTCCATTAAGAAATCTCTTTAATTCAATGGGGAAATTGCTGAATAAACGTCAAAATTATAAAGCTGAGTAGCATATTTGGACTTCTGTTAAAGCTAATGACTCATATTCTTCAGAAATCTAAAATAAACTTTCCTTACATTGAGAGAGATGACAATAATATGTGAGAGAGCTGATCACAAATACATGTACTTTTGTTGCTAAAACTTGAGTCTTTGTACTCGTTAACTCAAACTGCCTTGACTTCTCATGTTTATGCAAAACAGGTTTTTTGGGAGTAGAAAGAGAGGTACTATAACATCAGAGGAAATCATCAAAGAACTAGTGGCAACATCTTAAGGCTTTTATCAAAGTAGTGAGGGAATGCATTAAAGCAACAATATCTGAAGCTTACATGTGATGGGACTACTAAATTTAATAGTGTATCTTATGAACATATGTGGATATAATGATTTTCCTGGAAGAATACTCCACTCTTAAGGACTTTTTTTTCTGAGTAAGAGAACATTATTCTCTCAAGACAATTTGAAAAAAAATTCCACCAATATTTCATTAATAATAGATGCCTCACACTCTACAAACAGAAGACCAAAGTTTTTTAAACCTATATGAACTACAAGCAAAGGTCATACAAATGGGAATAAGCTTATGGATGGAAAAAAGTTCTTAAAGGTATCAGTCATCCAATTGTTGCTAGAAAATACTGAACTAAATCATGGGTAAAGTACATAAGCATTTAAGTAAAAATAAGAGGTTCTCATCTTGCAAAGCTAAGTGAGCTATGATCAAATTTGAAATATTTATTTACATTTATCAAAATATGTTAACTATAAGCCATTTCTTACTCTCAAATAAAACATATTAAAAGCAGTATAGCTGTACCTGCAAATAACAGGAAGAAAAGGAAAAGAAACATATGAAAATACATCTGAGTATTGAACAGAGTGTGACCACCTGATGCACTCCTACCAAGAAATGTCATGGAAGGTTAATAATGGATTAACATACACTGAGAAATCCAAAGTCAGCTTCTTATGCATATTCAATCTACTTCAGGTCATAAAATGATCCAAATGCTATTGAGCTCTTCAATTAGTGAGGTAGATTGTGTAGGTGAGAATAGTACCACTACAAAGGAAGACTCTTCTGGGTGCCAATTTGGGGCACTCCTGTGAATGTGAACTACAAAGCCTCTAGGATTCAATTTATGGGGCTTCTCAGCTGCCATGTAATTCTTAGTTATTTTCTCAAAAATAAGAAAGTAATCTACAGTCTCTGAAATTATAGCATCTACATGTATGGCAGAATTAGAATCTAAGTCTTTCACTGTGAAAGATGTTAAGTTTTACTCAGAAGTTGTAAACTTGGGCCTCTGAATATTAAATATAAAAGTGACTTGCCCTAAGAAAGGCAGGAGTGGGATCCATTAAACGAATTTTAAAATTCTCCTATGCATATCCTTCGTCATGGCCAGAGCAAGTCTTATAGCTACCAGGCAAGCTAATAATGTGTTACCCCTTTTCTAATTGATATTTTAAGGTATTTGTACAAAATGTATTTGATGGGAGTGGGCACGTGCTCTTACTACTAACAATAAACCTTTTTATATTCAAAATAAGAAAGTATTACATGCTTTGAACATAACACTTAATTGTTTGAAATATTATTTCTTTTCACAGTGTTATAGACACAAGAACAGCTGTGACTAACCTACACTTATTTTGTGATACATACTTCAGAACAGAAGTTTATTTTCTTTTGACTACTATATAAGCAAAATGTTCTTCAATTTCTTTAGTTTTTATTTTCTTTTCAGTTTTTTGACAACTACTTGGGAAGTACATTTAAGGGTTTAATGGTTAGGTAATAAAGTGAATCACTGGTTCCTAATCAACAGCCAGATGCTGGGTATCATTTTTCTTCAGCATCTTGACTGCCTACACCTGCTGACTGCAGGCATCTGCCAGCTGCCTTTCTCAGGCTGGGAGGCATAATCTGTAGTTCCACTTGTAACCTGCCTCTTTAAGATGCAAAATACTCCACTGGGACAGGCTAGCATTGTGATGAGGTTTTTTCCCCCAAATTTATTTCCACTCAGAAGCACTGTCTACTTTAGAAGAGGGACGAAATTAGATTTCACCAGTTACGTAAGGAATGATGTGGGGAAACCTGAGGAAACTGTACCCCTTTATCCAATGCATCCCAGTGGGTCCTAAAAACTGGCAGCCTATAAACTGGCACCAGTAGAGTGGGGCATTGCTGAAAAGATACCCGAAAATGTGGAAGCGACTTTGGAACTGGTTAACAGGCAGAGGTTGGAACAGTTTAGAGGGCTCAGAAGAAGACAGGAAAATATGGGAAAGTTTGGAACTCCCTAGAGACTTGTTGAATGGTGTTGACCAAATGCCTGATAACAATATGGACAATAAGGTCCAGGCTGAGGTGGTCTCAGATGGAGATAAGGAACTTTTTGGGAAATGGAGCAAAGGTGACTCTTGTTATATTTTAGCAATGAGACTGGCGGCATTTTGCCCCTGCCCTAGAGATTTGTGGAACTTTGAACTTGAGAGATATTATTTAAAGTATCTGGCAAAAGACATTTCTAAGAAGCAAAGCTTCCTCATGCTGTGTGCAGCCTAGGGACTTGGTGCCCTGTGTCCCAGCTGCTCCAGGCTATGGCTTCAGAGGGTGGAAGCCCCAAGCCTTGGCAGCTTCCACTTGGTGTTGAGCCTGCGTGTACATAGAAGTCAGAAATTGAGGTTTGGGAACCTCTGCCTAGATTTCAGAAGATGTATGGAATTGCCTCGATGCCCAGGCAAAAGTTTGCTGCAGGGGCAGGGCCCTCAAGGAGAACCTCTGCTAGGGCAGTAAGAAAGGGAAATGCGGGGTTTGAGCCCCCACACAGAGTCCCTCCTGGGGCACTGCCTAGTGGAGCTGTGCGAAAACGGTCACCATCCTCAAGACCCCAGAATGGTAGATCCATTGGCAGCTTAAGCTGCAGACACTCAATGCCAGCCGGTGAAAGCAGCCAAGAGGGAGGCTGGACCCTGCAAAGCCACAGGGGCGGAGCTTCCCAAGACCATGGGAACCCACTCTTCAATCAGCATGACCTGGATGTGAGACCTGGAGTCAAAGGAGATTATTTTGGAACTTTTTAATTTGACTGCTCCATTGGATTTTTGACTTGGATGGGCCCTGTAACCCCTTTGTTTTGGCCAATTTCTCCCATTTGGAATGGCTATATTTACCTAATACCTGTACCTCCATTGTATCTAGGAAGAACTAGCTTGCTTTTGATTTTACAGGCTTATAGGCAGAAGGGACTTGCCTTGTCTCAGATGAGACTTTGGACTGTGGGCTTTTGGGTTAATGTTGAAATAAGGTAAGAGTTTGGGGGACTGCTGGGAAGGCATAATTGGTTTTGAAATGTGAGGACATGATATTTGGAGGGGCCAGGGGCAGAATGATATGGTTTGGCTGTGTCCCCACCCAAATCTAAACTTGAATTGTATCTCCCCGAATTCCCACATGTTGTGGAAGGGACCCAGGAGGAGGTAACTGAAAAATGGGTGACGGTTTTCCTGTGCTATTCTCGTGATAGTGAATAGGTCTCATGAGATCTGATGGGTTTATCAGAGGTTTCCATTTTGTTTCTTCTTCATTTTATCTCTTGCTGCGTTTCCCCTCTTGCCATGATTCGAAGGCCTTCCTAGCCATGTGGAACCGTAAGTCCAATTAAACCTCTTTTTCTTCCCAGTCTCAGATGTGTCTTTATCAACAGTGTGAAAATGAAATAATATAACCTACAATGCTACAAAATTGGTCCAAGCCTTAATCCAACATGAATATCATAAAGAAAAGAAATAGTTAGGCATATAGTGATTTACGTGATGCTTTATACTTGTTTTATACCGTAAGTTCTAAGAAGGCAGGAACTGGGTCAGCTTACTCCCCACTGTACTTCACCACAAAACTAACTGCACAACATATAATTAATGTCCACCCTTTTGTTTCAGAAAGATGTATATACAAAAATGGGCAAAATCATGCCACAATTTATAATTTTTGTTATGATAAATGATTCCCATATTCTCTCACCAGAGAGGTGAGCTGTAACACAATCCCTTGAATTTATTATTTAAAACCCTCTCAGGGAGAATACCATTTTATTACAATAAAAACAAAAATGATAAATACTTAGAAAGCATTTACTTGTGTCAGTGACTCCAGTAAACACTGTTCAAATATAAAATAAATGAATAACCTGGTTCCAAGATGGCCGAATAGGAACAGCTCCAGTCTGTAGCTCCCAGTGTGAGCGACGCAGAAGGCAGCTGATTTCTGCATTTCCAACTGAGGTACCAGGTTCATCTCACAGGGGCTTGTCAGACAGTGGGTGTAGCCCATGGAGCAGGGCGGAGCATCACCTCACCCGGGAAGTGCAAGGGGTCAGGAAATTCCCTTTCCTAACAAAGGGAAGCCATGACAGAGGGTACCTGGAAAATCGGGACACACACAACCTAATACTGCGCTTTTCCAATGGTCTTAGCAAACGGCACACCAGGAGATTATATCCTGCACCTGGCTCGGAGGGTCCCACACCCACAGAGACTCGCTCACTGCTAGCACAGCAGTCTGAGATTGAACTGCCAGGTGGCAGTGAGGCTGGGGGAGGGGTGTCCACCATTGCTGAGGCTTGAGTAGGTAAACAAAGTGGTCTGGAAACTAAAACTGGGTGGAGCCCACCGCAGCTCAAGGAGGCCTGCCTACCTCTGTAGACTCCACCTCTGAGGGCAGGGCATAGCTGAACAAAAGGCAGCAGAAACTTCTGTAGACTTAAACCTCCCTGTCTGACAGCTTTGAAGAGAGTAGTGGTTCTCCCAGCACAGAGTTTGAGATCTGAGAACTGACAGACTGCCTCCTCAAGTGGGTCCCTGACCCTCAAGTAGCTTAACTGGGAGGCACCGCCCAGTAGGGGGAAACTGACACCTCATACAGCCAGGTGCCCCTCTGAGACGAAGCTTCCAGAGGAAGGATCAGGCAGCAACATTTGTCGTTCTGCAGCCTCCACTGGTGATACCAGGCAAACAGGGTCTGCAGTGGACCTCCAGCAAACTCCAACAGACCTGCAGCTGAGGGTCCTGACTGTTAGAAGGAAAAATAACAAACAGAAAGGACATCCGCACCAAAACCCCATCAGTACATCACCATCATCAAAGACCAAAGGTAGATAAAACCACAAAGATGGGGAGAAACCAGAGCAGAAAAGCTGAAAATTCTAAAAATCAGAGCGCCTCTTCTCCTCCAAAGGAACACAGCTCCTTGCCAGCAATGGAACAAAGCTGGATGGAGACGAACTGAGAGAAGAAGGCTTCAGACAATTGGTAATAATAAACTTCTCCGAGCTAAATGAGGATGTTCGAACCCACCACAAAGAAGCTAAAAACCTTGAAAAAAGATTAGACGAATGGCTAACTAGAATAACCAGTGTAGAGAAGTCCTTAAAAGACCTGAAGGAGCTGAAAACCATGGCACCAGAACTACGTGTTGCACACACAAGCTTCAGTAACTGATTTGATTAATTGGAAGAAAGGTTATCAGTGATTGAAGATCAAATGAATGAAATGAAGCAACAAGAGAAGCTTAGAGAAAAAAGAGTAAAAAGAAATGAACAAAGCCTTGAAGAAATATGGGATCACATGAAAAGACCAAATCTACATCTGATTGGTGTACCTGAAAGTGACAGGGAGAATGGAACCAAGTTGGAAAACACTCTTCAGGATATTATCCAGGAGAACTTCCCCAATCTAGCAAGGCAGGCCAACATTCAAATTCAGGAAATTCAAAGAATGCCACAAAGATACTCCTCAAGAAGAGCAACTCCAAGACACATAATTGTCAGATTCATCAAAGTTGAAATAAAGGAAAAAATGTTAAGGGCAATCAGAGAGAAAGGTCAGGTTACCCACAAAGGGAAGCCCATCAGACTAACAGTGGATCTCTCAGCAGAAACTCTACAAGCCAGAAGAGAGTGGGGGCCAATATTCAACATTCTTAAAGAAAAGAATTTTCAACCAAGAATTTCATATCCAGCCAAACTAAGCTTCAGAAGTGAAAGAGAAATAAAATCCTTTACAGACAAACAAATGCTGAGAGATTTTGTCACCACCAAGCCTGCCTTACAAGAGCTCCTGAAGGAAGCACTAAACATGGAAAGGAACAGCCAGTACCAGCCACTGCAAAAACATGCCAAATTGTAAAGACCATCATGCTAGGAAGAAACTGCATCAACTAACGAGCAAAATAACCAGCTAACATCATAATGACAGGATCAAATTCACACATAACAATATTAACCTTAAATGTAAATGGGCTAAATGCTCCCATTAAAAGACACAGACTAGCAAATTGGATAAAGAGTCAAGAGCCATCAGTGTGCTGTATTCAGGAGACCCATCTCACATGCAGAGACACACATAGGCTCAAAATAAAGGGATGGAGGAAGATCTACCAAGCAAATGGAAAACAAAAAAAACAGGGGTTGCAATCCTAGTCTCTGATAAAACAGACTTTAAACCAACAAAGATCAGAAGAGACAAAGGAGGTCATTACATAATGGTAAAGGGATCAATTCAACAAGAAGAGCTAACTATACTAAATATATATGCACCCAATACAAGAGCACCCAGATTCATAAAGCAAGTCCTTAGAGACCTACAAAGAGACTTAGACTCCCACAAATAATAATGGGAGACTTCAACACCCCACTGTCAACATTAGACAGATCAACGGGACAGAAAGTTAACAAGGATATACAGGAATTGAGCTAAGCTCTGCACCGAGTGGACCTAATAGACATCTACAGAACTCTCCACCACAAATCAACAGAATATACATTCTTCTCAGTGCCACCTCACACTTATTCCAAAATTGACCACATAGTTGGAAGTAAAGCACTCCTCGGCAAATGTGGAAGAACAGAAATTATAACAAACTGTCTCTCAGACCACAGTGCAATCAAACTAGAACTCAGGATTAAGAAACTCACTCAAAACCACACAACTACATGGAAACTGAACAACCTGCTCCTGAATGACTACTGGGTACACAACGAAATGAAGGCAGAAATAAAGATGTTCTTTGAAACCAATGAGAATGAAGACACAACATACCAGAATCTCTGGGACACATTTAAAGCAGTGTGTAGAGGGAAATTTATAGCACTAAATGCCCACAAGAGAAAGCAGGAAAGATCTAAAATTGACACCCTAACAACACAATTAAAAGAACTAGAGAAGCAACAGCAAACACATTCGAAAGCCAGCAGAAGGCAAGAAATAACTAAGATCAGAACAGAACTGAAGGAGATAGAGACACGAAAAAAAACCCTTCACACAATCAATGAATCCAGGAGCTGGTTTTTTGAAAAGCTCAACAAAATTGATAGACAGCTAGCAAGACTAATAAAGAAGAAAAGAGAGAGGAATCAAATAGATGCAATAAAAAATGATAAAGGGGATATCACCACTGATCCCACAGAAATACAAACTACCATCAGAGAATACTATAAACACCTCTATGCAAATGAACTAGAGAATCTAGAAGAAATCTATCCATCTGAAAAAGGGCTAATATCCAGAATCTACAAAGAACTTAAACAAATTTACAAGAAAAAATCAAACAACCCCATCAAAAAGTGGGTGAAGGATATGAACAGACACTTCTCAAAACAAGACATTTATGCAGCCAACAGACACATCAAAAAGTGCTCATCATCACTGGCCATCAGAGAAATGCAAATCAAAACCACAATGAGATACCATCTCACACCAGGTAGAATGGCAATCATTAAAAAGTCAAGAAACAACAGGTGCTGGAGAGGATGTAGAGAAATAGGAACACTTTTACACTGTTGGTGGGACTGTAAACTAGTTCAACCATTGTGGAAGACAGTGTGGCTATTCCTCAAGGATCTAGAACTAGAAATACCATTTGACCCAGCCATCCCATTACTGGGCATATACCCAAAGGACTATAAATCATGCTGCTATAAAGACACATGCACATGTATTTTTATTGCAGCACTATTCACAATAGCAAAGACTTGGAACCAACCCAAATGACCACCAATGATAGACTGGATTAAGAAAATGTGGCACATACACACCATGGAATACTATGCAGCCATAAAAAAGGATGAGTTCATGTCCTTTGTAGGGACACGGATGAAGCTGGAAACCATCATTCTAAGCAAACTATTGCAAGGACAGAAAACCAAACACCGCATGTCCTCGCTCATAGGTGGGAATTGAACAATGAGAACACTTGGATGCAGGGTGGGGAACATCACACACTGGGGCCTGTCTTGGGGTTGGGGGAAGGGGGAGGGATAGCATTAGGAGATATACCTAATGTAAATGACGAGTTAACGAGTGCAGCACACCAACATGGCACATGTATACATATGTAACAAACCTGCACGTTGTGCACATGTACCATAGAACTTAAAGTAAAATAATAATTAAATAAATGAATGAATAACCTTTTGAGGAGGTACTATTTTAATCCCCATATTACAAATGAGAAAACTGAGGGATAAGAGTTCAAGTCATCAGTATCATACTAGAGGCAAAATTCAAGCTCAGGAAGTCTGGCTGAAGTCGAACTCTTAGCACTACACTACACCATTTCTCTCTCATGATGAGGTGTTCTAGGTACCTCTCAAACAAACCTCACATGAGCAATCCAACAAGAATTGTTCTGCCACAGAACTGGAACAAATGGTATATCATATTTTGTGTCAATATATATCTGATGGGATTTAAACATTTTATAATTTATATTTAGGTACATGTGTGTGCTTATGTATCTACACACATATATATGAATCTATATTAGCATAATCTAGATCTATTTCATGGAGGAGGAGGAAAGAGTAGTATCAATAATAGTAAAAATAGCTACAAACATTTATTGAATATTTATATCAGACACTGTGGTCAGTACTTTTCATGCACTATTGATTTAATTTTCCTCAGAATTTTTGATAGGTACTATGTTATCATCTACTTTTTTCAGATAATAAAACTAAGGATTAGGTAAGTAACTTTTAGTGAGCCACAGGTTCTCAGGGCCTTATGCAGAAGATATGCATTGTTAGAGGAAACTAGAACTCAAGTCCTTTGTTCTGAGAAGGTGTAAGGATGAAACTCCCATTTCCTGATATGGGTAATCTGCTAGAGAAATCAGAAGCATGGTTTTTAAACGTTTTAACTTTGAGGTGCCTACTAGATATCCATCAGACAGGAGGGGATGAGATGCAAGGGGCAAATGAGGGGATTGGTCAAGGTAGAGACACCAAGAGCTCATTCAGCGTAAAACAAGGGGAGCCTGAGGATATGAGCAGACTCAGATTATAGGAATGTAGCTGTGAGTCAGTGGATTTTAGTAAAAATAAGAAATTCTCATCTTGCAAATCTCACTAAGCAAGCTATGATCAAATTTGAAATATTTATTTACATTTATCAAAATGTGTTAAATATAAGCCATTTCTTATTCTCAAATACAACATATTAAAAGCAGTGTTGCTTTACCTGCAAATAACAGGCAGAAAAAGAAAAGAAACAAAAATACATTTAAGTTGTTTGGTTTGTTTGTTTGTTTGTTTGAGATGGAGTCTCACCCTGTTGCCAGGCTGGAGTGCAGTGGCGCAATCTCGGCTCACTGCAACCTCCAGCTCCCGGGTTCCAGTGATTCTCCTGCCTCAGACTCCCGAGTAGCTAGGACTATAGGCACATGCCACCACGCCCTTCTAATTTTTGTATTTTTAGTAGAAACAGGGCTTCACCATGTTGGCCAGGATGGTCTCAATCTCTTGATCTCGTGATCCACCCACCTTAGCCTCCCAAAGTGCTGGGATTACAGGCATGAGCCACCGTGCCCAGCAACATCTAAGTATTTAACAGAGTGTGACTACCTGACACACTCCTACTAAGAAATGTCATGGGGGCCGGGCGCAGTGGCTCACGCCTGTAATCCCAGCACTTTGGGAGGCCGAGGTGGGCGGATCACGAGGTCAGGAGATCGAGACCATCCTGGCTAACACGGTGAAACCCCGTCTCTACTAAAAAAATACAAAAAAATTAGCTGGGCTTGGTGGCAGTCACCTGTAGTCCCAGCTACTCGGGAGGCTGAGGCAGGAGAACGGCATGAACCTGGGAGGCGGAGCTTGCAGTGAGCCAAGATCTTGCCACTGCACTCCACCATGGGCGACGGAGCGAGACTCCATTTAAAAAAAAAGAAAGAAAGAAATGTCATGGAAGGTTAACAATGGGTTAATCTCTCCTGGCTGCTTACATTTCCTTGGTGAAGAATATATAAGTATGGAGAGAAAAGCAAAGTTGTTGAGAAAAGAGAAACTGTGAAGGGGAGATGGAATGAATCTTGGACATGCAATTGAATTTCTAGGCAGCAGTAAGGACGAATTTGAGGTTCACAGTTACTAATCAAATGTGAAACCCCTCTAGTTTATCTGTGCATATACAGCATACAGTTGGATTTAAATGGGGTTTGTGGAGAAAGGATTTGAGAGTGTGAACAAAGGCATTTGGACATTTTTGAGGATAATAATGCTGCTGCTGCTGCTGATGATGACAAAAGCTAGCCTTATAGTGTAGTGTTGATACGGTTTGAATGTCTTTTCCAAAAGTCATGTTGAAACCTATTTCCCAAAGTGGCAGTATTGAGAGGTGGAAAACGGGTGATTTGATCATGAGGGCAGAGCCCTCTTGGATTAATGGGTCAATAGGTTAATGGATTAATGGGTTATCATGTTATTAATGGGTTATCATGGGAACAGGCAGCTTTTTAAGAACAGAAAGAGAGACCTAAGATAGCACATTTGCATGCTCAGCCTCCCTCCATGTGGTATCCTGTGCCATCTCTGGACTCTCTAGAAATTTCCACTAACAAGAAGGTTCTCACCACTTGTGGCCCTACAACTTTGGACATCTCAATCTCCAGAACTATAAGAAATAAATTACTTTTCTTTATAAATTATTCCATTTGAGATATTTTGTTATAAGCAACAGAAAACAGACTAATACAAATGCATACTGTGTACCAGAAAGGAGCCATTCTAAGTATCTTATATAAATTATTTATTCATCATAATAACCTAATATGGTATGTCTAACTATTATTGTTGCAATTTAATAGTAAACTGATGCAGAATGATTTGATAACTTATTGGAGTTTACAGCTAGTAGAAGGTGAAGGCAGGGAAATGCTTTTACAAGCCAGGTAGTCTGGCTTTGTATACTAATAATTCTATACCATCAGGGAGGACTGTGCTATCTACTGAATAAGGAGAGGATTAAGAACACCTAGGAGGAAGGTAATGAAATGGTAGAAGAATCTATGAATTGTGGGAAGAATCGATGAGTTGTAGAGCAAAAAGAATGAATGTTGGAGTTGGGATCTTCAAAGAGGTATACTAGAAAATTAGGAAGGGTTGGTTGGAGAGTGGAAGGCTTGAAATTAAAGATTATAAAGGAAGTGTATATATTTGGAATGATAAGTTCTAGAATACAATCCTGTAGAAGTGTGACTAATGTAATAAAGTTCAAGGTCTCTGGAGGAAAAGAGATCAAAGAAGAAGTGAGAGACCAAAGTACTGGAAATATTATATAGCAGTACTGAAGTCATCAAGACAGAACTAGTTTTGAAGGGAATTACTTAAATCCAGGGACTAAAATGGTCAACGAATAAAGTGAATTGACACTTAGCTGGTGAATGATGGAGGATGGAGTTGCCAGATTTAGCAAATAAAAAATACAGGATGCCCAGATACATTTGAATTTCAGATTTTTTTAAATGAATATTTTTAGTATAAGTATGTCTCAAATATGGCATGGAACATACGTACACCAAAAAATTATTTGTTGTTCATCTGAATGTCAAATGTAGCTGAGCATCTTGTATTTCATCTGGCAACCCTATTACTGGAACCAATATCTCAACTCAAATTTGTCTTACTTACAGGCTGAACTCCTAAACTGGATAAGATAGATCTTTACCACTAGTATTAATTTAAGCAAACAGAGCAATGAATAAGTTTTACCAAGTCAGAATTTTATTCCTAGTTGGCTAAATTAGAGTAACTGTATTCCAGGATCTTATAATAATATATTCACATGAAAATATGAATGCATATGGCATTTTGTAAAAGCAAAAGTATTTTCACAGCATAAGCTGCATTCTAAAATTTTTATCACTAGTTATATGTGTAATAGGATGCCAGTGGGCAAGCTCCCTGATCATCTCTTGGTTGTTAATTCAGTTTAGTGAATAAGTTCAATTATGATGACAGGAAAATAGCCTATGCATTATCACAAATCATCTTTCATCTTTGATACAAATGAAAAGATTACTTTCAATAATTCCATAGTTATATTTAAAGCAAATTTAGCATTGTGTTTGAAGTTATGCTTTTAAAAGTAATAGGTCCCACAATTTGGAACCAATACTGTAAAAAGATCTGTCATTTAAATATGGCTTCTTTCCTTTTCAAAATGCTATTACTATTTATTGAATTATATAGACAAAATCATGAAAGATAGGAATATATGTGTATTAAAGAGAATAGAAATCTAAATAATTTCAAATGAATTAAACATACAAATATGTTCTAATATAGTTATATGGTGATTTTATAATCCATTAGGACCCTAAGTGTTTTCATATTATGGACTTTTCCTGTGAAACCTATAAATGATATAGGAAATATACATGGATTATATATTACAAAAATATTTTGATAGATATTTCATAAAATTTAAACTTTATAACTTTTAAAGATATCTCACATTTTCATAAAATGATATTTCAAAGTAATTTTATATATATCATCTCAATGATTGCCACAATTCTGTGAAGAAGATAGAATAGGTATAATAATTTTTTTCTGTAAATAAGAAAATTAAGGAAAAATGGAAAGCTTAAAAGGTCACAAGCTAATAAATGGGAGAGTGGGTTGAAGAACCAGATATTTCTATTATTGTTTCTGTGTTCTTTTTACTGAAATAACATACCTCCTAAGCTGCTCCTATTTGTGTATACTATACCATGCCGTTTCTGTTCTTATTAAAATTATAATTAACAGCTCTTAGAGATCACTTTATAATTCTTGATAACATATTATTGAAATCTCACTAAAATCATTGTTTAAAAATCGTTAAGAATGCAAAACCTGGATATTACTGTATCCAACCAAGATAGAGTAATGGGGACCAGATTTACCCTCTTAACTGAAACAACCATAAAACAGACAAAATATTTGAAACACTACCTTTCAAGAGACTAGACATCATCAACAAAAAAGAGTGATCCCCGAGAGACAGGAAAGGTAAGGTAACTCAAGAAAGAAAAGGTAAGCTCGACAATTTTCCTACTGTCCTTAGAGACTTTCCAGACTGTGATACAAAAAAAGCAAACCCAGGCAGAGGCTGGCAGACTCCTCGAGTTGAGTTGGTCTGGTAGTATTGGGAGACTAGGTAGCTAGAGTTCTCAAGACAGTATACCAAGATGGAAAAGCTACAGGGAAAGAGATTTAACAGGTGTTTTTCTCAAAGTATTCACTAAATTATTATCACACATACATGTGAGGAAAATACTGAAGGACAGAAAAAGCACCACTCAAAATGACTAGAGGTGACAGTGACCAGTTCTCACACCAGGCCAAGAATGGTGCCATTTCCCACCAGCCATACTGGAAATCACATAATTCATGGCATTGGATAGAAAGCACAGAAAGATCTCGCCTCAATCATGAGAATCAGCCTTAGATCAAGCATTGCTCTGGTCCTATCTAGAAGAAATCTTAAACACCTGACCCAAAAGTATCAAACTCTCTTTAACTAACTAAATTGTGTCCCAGAACAAAGTTCAAAACTATTTATAGGAATACAAAAATATCTAACATCTTATAAGGTAAAATTCATGATATCTGGCATCCAATAAAAATGATCAGGCATACAAAGAAACAGGAAAATATAACCCATAATAAAGAGAACTATCAAACAAAAGATCAAAACTGACACAGATATTAGAATTAGAAGAAAAAGGCACTAAAACAGTTATAACAACTGTATTCCATATGTTTAGAAAATTATGTAAAGACATACAATATATAAACAAGACTCAAATTGAACTTCTAAATATGAAAGCTACGATGTGAGATGCAAAATACGCTGGATGGAAATAACAGCAGATTCACTACTGCAGAAAAAAACTAGAAAACTTACAGACAAAACAAAGAAACAATTTAAAATGAAATGCAGAGTAAAACAGTAAAAACAACAACAAAAATGGGCAAAGTGTCCATTAGCTATGGGGCAAATTCAAGTGGTCTAAAATGTATATCATTACAGTTCCCAGAGTCAGCAAAGGGGAACAGAAAAAAATTGAAGAAATAATAGCTCAAAATTTTGCAAATATGATGAAAACTATAAATCCATAGATTCAAGAAGCTAAATTAACTCCAAGCCCTAAACATCATTACTGAATTGTCAAAGCCACATTATGTACAGAAAAACAAAGACAAGAATGACAGCAGATTTCTATCACTGAAGGTCAACCTATATTTCTATATTCAACAAAGACATATTTTAAAGATGAAGGTGAAACATAAAAAATCGGAAAGAATTCATCACCAGCATACCCATACTATAAGAAATGTTAAAGGAAGTTTTAGACAGACAGATATATGAATCTATAAAAAGAAATGAAAAGACTGGAAAGAGTAATTTATGGGTAAACATATACAATTTTTAAAAATTATTTAAGTATCTCTAAAAGATAATTAACTTTTTAAATTTTTTGATAATTGACTATCTAAACAAAAACAATAGTAATGCATTGAGGGGTTTATACTATCAGTAAAAGTAAGATTAACGAAAAAATAGCAGAAACTGGAGAGGAGAAATCAAAGTACACAATTGCAAGTTCTTATACTATATGTAAAGAGGTATAATATAACTTGAAAAATTGTGGTAAGTTAAAGAACCCTAAAGCAACCATTGAGATAGCTAAACAAGGAATTATAGTAAGTAAGCCAACAAAGGAGATAAAATGCAATCATAAAGATTTGTTTACTTTGATTAATCCAAAAAGAAGCAGAAAATGAGGAAAGAGTGAGCATAGATGGAACAAACAGAAAACAAGTATCAAGATGACAGATTTAAACCTACTCAAATTAATAATCACATTAAACGTAAATTATCTTATTACCCAATTAAAAGGCAAAAATTGTTAGATTGTATTTTTTTAATTAAGACCTAACTATATGCTTTCTATAAGAAATTCACTTTAAGCATAAAGTAACAAATAGGTTAAAACTGAAATGATGCAAAAATTATACCACACTAACACGGATCAAAAGGCAATTGGAATGGCTATATTCGTACCAATTAAAGTAGATTTCTGAGCAATGAAAATTAGCAGGGATAAAGAGCATTTTATAATAATAAAAGTGTCAATTTATTTAGAGAGCATACAATCAGTTATGAACCTAATAACAGAGTTTCAAAATATATAAAGCACAAACTATATAGAATCAGAATCAAAAAATAGAAAATTAGAAAATAGAAAATTGTACCATTAAGTCAGATATCTTAATAACTCTCTCAATAATTAATGATAGAATAAAAGGACAGAAAAATTGGTAAGAATATAGAAGACTTGAGCAACATTATCAACAACCTGACCTAATTGCTTTTATAGAGCACTTCACCCAACAACAACAAATATACACTGTTTTCATGTGCACATGGGAAATTGACCAAGACAGGTCATACTATGGGCAATAAAACAAATATTAATAAATTTAAAAGGATTCATATCATGCAAAATACGTTCTCTCCATAGCATAATTAAATTTTAAACAAACAGAAGTATTCCTGGGAAATCGCCAAATATTTAGAGCAAAATAATATAATATACTTTAAAATAACCCATGGTTCAAAAAAATCAAAAGGGAAATTAGAAAGTATTTTTGAACTGAATGAAGACAGGAGTAAAACAGACTTAAATTTGTGAGATGCCGATAAAGCAATATTGAGGGACGAATTTTTAGTACTAAATGCCTGTATTTAAAAAAATAAAGATCACATGTCCAAGACTTCAGCTTCTACCTTAACACATTAGAAAAAGGAGATAGATTAAATCCAAAGTAAGTAAAAGAAAGAAAATAAGATCAGAAGGAAAATTAATGAAATAAAATATAAAATCAATGTAACTGAAAGCTTATTCTTTAAGAAAATCAATAACATCGACACTCTTTTAGCAAGATCATAAAGAGAGGGAAATACAAATCACCCAATAAGGAATGAGAGAGGTGACATCACTAAAGATGCCACAGATATTAAAAGGATGATTAGTGTATATGACAACTTCATGCCAAAAAAGTCAAAACTTAAATTTTTTTGACAAATTCTTTAAAAGGTACAAACAAGATTTCAAGAAGAAATAGATAACCTAAATAATCTATACCTGTTAAATAAATAGAATATGAAGTTTAAAAGCTTCCCAAGAAGAAAACTCTAAGCTCAGATGACTTCATTGGTGAATTCTAGCAAACTTTTAAGGATAAAATATACCAATTCCGTACTCCTCCAGAAAATTAAAAAGGAGCGTCTTCTTCCCCCACTCACTCTATAAAGTCAGTATTGCCCTGAACCAAAACCAGATTTTACAAAACAAGAAAACTACAAATCGGTATCCTTTGCGAGCATAAATGGAATAATTTTAAACAAATATCTTGCAAAACAAATTCAACAACATTATCAAGTGAAAAAAATCAGGATTAGGTCGAGTGCATCCTCAAAGACAGGGCTGGTTTAACATGTGAATGTTAATCAATGTAATTCACCATATTAACAGACTTAAAAAGAAAAATGATATGATCAGCTCAGTAGACATCAAAAAAGTATTTGACAAAATACAGCACCATTGTTGATTTAAAATTCTCAACAAATTAAGCCTACAGGAGAACTTTCTCAACCCAATAAAGGGCATCTATGAAAACATATATAACAGAAAAAGACTAAATGCTTTTCCACTAAAATCAGAAATGACAAAAATGTTGTCTCTTGCCATTTCTATTGTACTAAAGTTTTTATGAGTTCAATAAGGCAGAAAAATGACATTAAAGAAAAGACATCTAGATTGGAAAAAGAAGTAAAACTATCTTTATTCTTAGATCACATGAGTGTCTATGTAAAAAAACCCAACTGAATCTACAAAATAACTTCCAGAATCATCAAGTAAATTTAACAAGGTTTCAGGATACAAAATCAATATGTAAAAATGAATGACAGTTTTATACACTAGCAATGAGCAATTGTAATTTTAGATTTAAAAGTACTAAAGTCAAAAAAATAACATGCTGGCAAGGTTGCAAAGAAAACACTCATACACTGTTGGTGGAAGTGTAAATTAGTTCAACCATTGCGGAAAGCAGTATGATGATTCCTCAAAGGACTAAAAGCAGAACTACCATTCGACCTAGCAATCCCATTACTGGATATATACCCAGATGAATATAAACCATTCTACCATAAAGACCCACGTATGCAAATGTTCATTGCAGCACTATTCACAATATCAGAAACATGGAATCAACCTAAATGCCCATCAATGACAGGTGGGATTAAAAAATGTGGTACATATACACCATGGAATACTATGCAGCCCTATAAAATAACAACATCATGTCTTTTGTGGAAACACGGATACAGCTGGGGGCTATTAGCCTTAGCAAACAAACTCAGGAAAAGAAACCAAATACTGTATGTTTTCACTTACAAGTGGGAGCTAAATGATAAGAAATTATAACACAAAGAAGGAAAGAACAGACCCTGGGGTCTACATGAATGGGGAGATGGGAAGAAGGAGAGGAGCAGAAAAGATAACTATTGGGCACTGGGCTTAATACTTGAGTGATGAAATAACCTGCACAACAAACCCCTGTGACACTTGTTTACCTATATAACAAACCTTCACATATACCCACAAACCTAAAATAAAAGTTTAAAAATAAATAAATAAACAACTTCAAGAATAAGTGTGACAAAATATGTGAAAAAATATTACAGTTAAAACTAAGAAGGCATTGCTAAAAAAAATTAAAGAAGACCTAAATATTTGAAGAGGCATACTGTGTTCATGAGTCAGAAGACTCAATGTTACTAAGATGTCAAAAAATTCAAAACTTGATCCATAAATAGATTCAGCATCTCAATAGAAATCCAAGCAAGATTTTGTAGAAATTGACAAGCTGATTCTAAATTTATATGGAAATGGAAAAGATGTAAATAGCCAAAATAATGGAAAAATAAGATAAAGGTTGGAAGATTAACACTACCTTCTTTCAAACTTATAAAGTTTCAATAATCATAATGATGTGGAATTGGTACAAAAACACAGGCATAGATCAAAGGAACAGAATAGGGAGTCCAGAAATGGATCCATACATATATGGACAACTGATTTTGACCAAGGTGTAAGGGCAATTCAGCATAAAAGGGTAGTCTTTTCAACAAATTATTCTGGAGAAGTTAGACATGCCAAAAAATGAATTTTTAATCCATAACTTGCACTATATACAGAAATTAACTCAAAATGGATCATAGACTTAAATGCAAAATGGAAAACTACAAAATTTCTCAAAGAAAACTTGGGAGAAAATCTTTGTGAATTTGGGTAAAGGCAAAGATTTCTTAGATATGGCACCAAAAGCATGATCCAGAAAAAATAAGAATAAAGTGAATTTCAACACACAGTAAACACCTGCTCATCAAAATACACTGTTGAGAGAATGAAAAGATAAGACTACGAGACTAAGAAAAAAAATTTCAAATCTTGTAGTTGATGAGGGTGTATATTCAGAATATGTTCTGAAACTCCCTAAATTTAATACAAACAGCCCAATAAGAAAGAGAAAAAACTCTTTGAACAGACACTTCACCATATAAGGTATATGGATAGCAAATAAGGCTCAACATCAACAGTTATTAGGGAAATGCAATTTAAAACTACTATGAGATACAACTACACACCTAGATATTTATTAGGATGACTAAAATGTAAAAGACTGATCATTCTAAGTGTTAATAAGGTTGTGAAGGAACTTGAACTCTCATACTCTGCTGGTAGGAATTTTTTTTTTTTTAATCCCTCACCTCCTTCCCATCCCTTCCCCTAGTCCCCAAAGTCTACTGTACCATTCTTTTTTTTTTTCTTTGACAGAGTCTCACTCTGTTGTCCAGGCTGGACTGCAGTGGTGTGATCTTGGCTCACTGCAGCCTCCACCTCCCAGGTTCAAGTGATTCTTGTGCCTCAGCCTCCCAAGTAGCTGAGACTACAGGCATGTGCCAACATGCCTGGCCTTTTTTTTTTTTTTTTTTTTTTTTTTTTTGTATTTTTAGTAGAGACAGTGTTTCACCATGTTGGCCAGGCTGGTCTCAAACTCTTCACCTCAAGTGATCCACCCCACTTGGCCTCCCTAAGTGCTGGGATTACAGGCATGAGCCACAGTGCCTGGCACCATTGTATCATTCTTATGCCTTTGCATATTCATAGCTTAGCTCCCACTTATGAGTGAGAAAATATGATGTTTGGTATTCCATTCCTGAGTTACTTCACTAAGAATAATAGTCTCTAATTCCATACAGGTTGCTGCAAATGCAATTATTTCATTCCTTTTTATAGCTGAGTAGTACTCATATATATATATATATATATATATATATATATATATATATCACATTTTTTTACTTGTTGATTGATGGGCATTGGGCTGGTTCAATATTTTTGCAAATTGCAAATTGTGCTGCTATAAACATGCGTGTGCAAATATAGTTTTTGTATAATGACTTCTTTTCCTCTGGGTAGACACCTAATAGTGGGATTGCTGGATCAAATGATAAATGTACTTTTAGTTATTTAAGGAATCTCCACACTGTTTTCCATAGTGGTTGTAATAGTTTACATTACCAGACTGCTGGTAGGAATGTTTAATGGTATAATCACTATGAAACGCTTTTGGCTAACTCATAAAAAGTTTAACATTCATCCACCATATGACCCAGCCATTCCACTCTTAGGTATTTATTTAAGAGAAATAGAAACATATGTTCTTGCAAATATTTAGACACAAATATTTATAAAAGCATGATTGGTCATAGCCAAATGTTGGAAACAATGCAAATGCCCATCAGTAGATTTATCAATACAAGAGAATACTACTCAGCAATAAAACAGGAATGTACTATTGACACATGCTACAACATGGATGGATCTCAAAATAATTACACTGAGTGAGAAAAGCCAGACCAGATAATAATATGTACTATATATTCTATTTATATAAAATACTAGAGAAGGCAAGCTAATGCATAGTGACAGAAAGATCAGAGATTGCCTGGAAAAGGCAGCGAAGGAAGATGCAAAGGTTCAGGAAAAAAGGTTATGAAGGGGCAGCAGGAAACTCTGGGGTGGCTGGGCGCGGTGGCTCACGCCTGTAATCCCAGCACTTTGAGAGGCTGAGGCAGGTGAATCATTTGAGGTCAGGAGTTCAAGACTAGCCTGGCCAACATGGTGAAACCCCCCTCTCCACTAAAAAATACAAAAATCGGCTGGGCTTGGTGGCATGTGCCTGTAGTCCCAGCTACTCCGGAGGCTGAGGCAGGAGAATCACTTGAACCTGGGAGATGGAGGTTGCAGTGAGCCAAGATCACACCAATGCACTCCAGCCTGGGCAACAGAGAGAGACTGTCTCAAAAAAGAAAAAAGAACACCCTGGGGTGATGATGGATATATTTACTATCTTGATTGTGGTGACAGTTTCACAGGTGTATACATATATTAAAAATTATTGAAATATATTCTTTACATAATGTCCTCTAGGTTCATCCATGTTTTTACAATAACAGGATTTCCTTCCTTTTTAAGGCTGAATAGCATTACATTGGGTAAACATACTGCATTTTCTTTATCTCTCCATTCATTGATGGACACTTAGGTTGATTTCATTCTTGGCTATTTTGTATAACGCTACAATGAACATGGGAGTGCAGATATTTCTTCGACTTAATGATTTCATTTCCTTTAGATATGTACCCAAAGTGAAATAAGCCAGGAACAAAAAGACAAACACTGAATGATCTCACTTATATAGAAGATCTAAAAAAACTGAACTCAATAGAAGTAGAGAGTAGAACTGGGGTTTCCTGGGATGGAGCGGGGGGGCAGTTAGAGAGATGCTGGCCAAAGGATACAAAATTTCAGCTAGATAGGAAAAATAACTTAAAGAGATTTATTGTACAACATGGTGACTATAGTTAATCAGAATGTACTATATTGTTAAAAATCACTGAGACTGAATTTTAAGTGTTCTCACCACGAAAAAGTATTTGAGGTAAGGCATATTTAATTAGCTTGATGGAGCCATTCTTCCATATATACCTATTTTAAAATAGGTATATATACACCATGTTGTACAAAATAATATATATATTATTTTTATTTGTCAATAAAATAAAATAAAAAATTAATTATTTTTAAAAATATATCTTTTAAATATGTGCAGTTTATTCTATGTCAATCATAACTCAATAAAGCTGTGGTAAAGAAAACAAAACCCACAATAATAAAGAAAAAAGGAAAGAGAAACACAATGGCAGTTTTGGAAACTGAAAAGCAACTCAAGGGGGTGGAGGGCAAGGGGAAGGACAGCATTAGGACAAATACCTAATGCATGGGTGGCTTAAAACCTAGATGACGGGTTGATAGGTGCAGTAAACCACCGTGGCATATGTATGCCTATGTAACAAACCTGCACATTCTGCACATGTATCCCAGAACTTAAAGTAAAATTAAAAAAAAGAGAAGCAGCTGAATTAGTGGCAACTTATGAAAGATCTAAGAAAACTAGATTTAAGAAAGCACCATGGAAAATCAAGGAGTTCTGGGCCTTAAAGCAAAAAAGTCTCCAGAACTGTTGGCCACAGGTACCCCTGAAAATAAGATGAGAACTGAAATGTTCATACTGAGAGATTCGCTGTTAGATTCCAGTGTCCTCTGTTTTACCCTAATAAAACCATGGAGATTAATTGTCTAAAGAAAATAATCAAGATATTCTATGAGTTAGACACAAGACACAAGAGTGGATTGTTCTCCTGAAAACAGGAGGATGAATTGAACACAAGCCCACCAGTTCTATTCTCCAGAATACTCAGAACACTCACAGCCAGGCCACTACTCTTCGAAAAGGAGACTTAGATGATCTTTCCTTGGAAACCAGACCAGCACAAGAGGAAAAATCTGAAGGCAAAGGTATAAAACAGTGCAATATGATCATTTTACAATGCAGCTAACAGTCAACATGCCCCAGCCATGCTACCAAGATTTCCAATAATTATATGAACCTCTGATTCTTAAATATGAGCAAAAATCCCAAGACTACAAGACACCTGAGAAAAGTTCCTAGGAGAACATTGAGCAGTAAAGGAAATTAATCATGGTTTACCTTATCATTCCATTATGAATGGTGCTTACATGGTATAATAATGTAGACACATTATATTAATCTAAGCAAAATAACAATTGTATTGAGAAATGAAAATATAGAAAGATACTTCATGCATTATGGGAGTGAGTGGAGGAAAGAGGTGATTTCTGGTCCTTTGAACTGGGAAGTCAGTTGATAATGCTTAAAGCTGTCAAGCCAAAAAGTATGGTTCAACTGCATAATCTAGAGACTCAACTCATACCAAACGAATCAGCAATACTTGTGTATGGAGTTGCTTCTGAGACAGGGAAAATGAAGGGAGGGGATGAGTATGGTAGATTTTCATAAAAGCCTTGTTGAACCATTTGAGTATGTATCACTTTGATCAAAATGGGAACGAAAAGAAGAATTTATATCAAATATAGACTTTTAATTACAGCACATTCAAGTGCTACAGCATGAATACCTAAGAATAATGATGCCCTATTGTTCCTTAGGGACATCAGATTGCCCTCTGCAGCAGAATTGAAACATAGTAGATCTCACTGGAGCTACATGGTGCCAACTTAAAGAGAGAAGAGGGCTTCCTAGGCAGCTAAAAAATGGAATGCAACCCGATTGAGGTTATTGGATTGCCTGAAGAAAAAAATACATCAAACAGAAATAGCTATACCAGCAGTGGAAACAATTTAAAGTAAGAATCACTGGCAAATGCTAGCAAAGCCCATTACAGACTTGCCCAAGGAAGATGATGCCCTGCTTATAGCCTAATGGCTCCAGTGGCTCTTCTATCCCTATTGAGGAGATGAATTCACCCATTTGTCATTACCTGCTGCCATTAGACGTTTGAATGACTTAGCCAACTCCCCTTTATTCTGATTCCAGGCCCATGACAAAGCTGATCTACAAAGATCAAATATACTCATTGGAGGACACAAATATGCAGTACCTTGGTAGCTGCATTTCTGATTAGAAATTAATATAACTTACGTCTTTCTTTTGATATAAGTTAATGTAAGTTCATGTCTAAGAGATTAATCAACATTTAGTATGCTAGAAAATAAGATATTTTTAGTTTGTAATTATGGGTTAGTGGAGATGAAATAGGGAGTCATGTTTTTAAAACTATCAGGGGTTATATATATATATATGAGATAAATCTGAAAAGCAGTATATCTTCTTATTTTAAAATGTCAAATTATCTTTGGGAGTAAAAATTTTCTTTCTCAGTTGTAATGAGCCTAGGAAAAGTGGAAAATATTTGAGTGTTTGAATGTAACTGGGCAATGAACTAGTTCAGATGAAGCAATTTAACCAAGTTGTAATTGTTTTCATGATATTTAAAAAATACAATTACAATTTTTTTTATCTCTGGACCTGAATATAGAACACAGGATTATGTCTACTGTGTAAATGGCCATTTCAGTGAACTGAATGGTGCCCTCGTGGTCTTGAGAAGATAATGCAATTCACAAAAGGCTTAAATTATTCCCTAGGCACCGTTTAGTTTACACAGTGCAAGTATGTATCCTATTAAAGTCAAAGTACAGTTTATGTAGAGGCCATAATTTGTCTTGGCCAAGTGGTAATTTCAAATGAAATATTTGGAGTTTAATCATTCACTTAAGAAGTGTATGTATTTAAGGAAAAATTAAAATGATATAAAGTATCAAATCAGTTTTTATAAAATGGAAAAATATATTTTAATTAACTTTTAAATTCTGATTTGTGTACTAGCATTTCTTAGAATTATTGCACGTGGTACCTCATAAAAGGGAGACTTAGAAAGATCCCTGAGATAAACCCTCTAGGCCAGAAGGATGAGGCCATAGAACATAGGGCCATAGAACATAAAAACTTTTTATCTTTCATAGTTTATTTTACTCAGGATTCCCTCATTTTAGATGTTTAGGTAACATGTAATATTCATAGACGTTTCCATGTCTAAGGCAGAAATGAATCAGTGATTTCAAGCACTAATTTGAGAATATCTGCAATGCCTCTGATTTCAGTGAAAACATAATGGCACCTCCAGTGAGATGTTGACCATTCTTGGCTCTGTATTATAAAACAGAAGGTGAAACAAGAAATGAAAACAAGAGAAATATGAAAAAAACCTGTAATCAATCAACCGAGTATTTTGGATATCCATGACTATAAGCATTTAGCTTGACTGGTTTTCACTCTGTATTGCATAGGGCAATTTCTTCTTATACAGAGTAGTCAGTGATGCATTTCCCTGTGTCTACTGCTTTGAATATTTGACACTTGTTCCTACCTTTTCTGAATATGCATTTACTTGTTAATTTAGTAAATATTTATTGAGATCTACTATGTGAAAATTGTGGGTGGCTATTACTTCCAAACTCAATTTTACTTAATTCATCATTAGCCATAATGGACTATGTCCTTGACTAAAGTCTTTCCCACACTTACTCCACATTCCTCTTCGGCCTAATAATGTGTTTGGCCATTAACCTGCAGCATTCAGTGCTTTGATGAATTAAATTCCTTGATGGAAGAGGGAAGGACAGGAGCTCTCATCTCATTTCTAACCCAAAGTGCTGTATGTCACCCTAAGCCTATACCTCCCTGAAAATCTTGACCCAAAATTTTCTCACCATGTTCTCTCAAATTCCTACTCTATCTCTCTGATATATCTAAGACATTTGAAAAAAAATAAGTCCATAAAAATATCGACCATTTGGGAATTTTTTTCTTGCTTGTTTTGAAAAGGAATACTTACTATATTTCAAATGAAGACTTAATTGGTAGAATTTCAGGGAGTGCTGCAAAATGAAATAACAATTTCAAGCAAAGTTGAAGCAATATGTTTTTTTGTATTTTTGTCGGGGGTTGGGAGACTTGGAAATCCCATGTATGACAGGATAGTTGCTTCTTTTTCTTCTAAGCTCAGCCCTGATCTCACTGAACCTGGGCAAATAACTACATCAATGTTACTAAGCCTAAAATTGTTTGATTAAGTATTACATTGAGTGCAACCTAAAAGCAAGCATTTAGAGACTTGACCCAAAAATCAGCAAGGGTAGGAAAGTAAATTGTAAATGTATAGTGTGGGTACATAGGTAATGATGAGGTAAAAAGCTGGGAAATATAAAGCTATATCTAAGAAATAATTAAGCTAAGTCTCTGATGCTAAAACTTTCTAATATTCCAAACAATATGCCATAATGCACTACAGTCATATTTTTTCAACAGTTTGAAGACTTTTGGAATAATTAACAAAATAATAGAAAAGCTTACTAGTATATATGCATATTATCTATGAAATAAAATATTAATGATTATTTTAACAATACTAGAAAATAATGCTTTGCCTTCACATATCTTAATGAGAATTAATAAATCCAAAAATAAAAGGCAAGAAGTACATCCCAAAGCCAGAAAGCAACAGCAGAAAATCTACTAGATACATCTAGATTTTTAATTCATATGTAAGCTGTAACAAAAATCAACTTTCTCTCATTTTTCGCTGTAACATCCATACAATATTTTCCAATGACATTTTCAAAAATAAAATATACAGAACCTGAACACATTGAAATAATGGAAATGATACAAACCCTGAACTTGATGAAATAATAGAAATGAGAACACAACTTGAAGAAAATAGAAAACATAGGCAAATATGATTCTTTAAGATTTGTCAAATTTAGGGTTTATAAACTCTACATTTCTTCATACTTTGATTTTCAGCTAATATGTTGAACTGTCATATATAGAAAGAGTGATAATTTTGCAAATTCAGTGAAATACAAACCAGAGGCACTCTAAAGATCAAGAAGGCTGTGCTGATTCTTTGCAGGAGGAGAAAATAAGATAAAAAAACTCTGGCAAAATTGATTAGAAGAATAGAGGAGACATAAACAATATGATGTATTTTGAAAGACAGAACCACAGATAAAGAAGGAAATGAAGAGATAATGAGAGTATTATCAATCCCTATTTGGGTATATTTTGAAAACAAAATTTACAAATTTCTAAAAAAAAGGTTCATCAGAATTGACTCAATATGAAATAAAGAGTTTGAGTAATCCTATGGATATGTTTGATACATATTCCTTCTTTCTGCTGATGATAAAAATGTTGAAGAGGAAAAGTTCAAAGAATACATCCTCTAAAACCTTCCTTGAACCTTGCCTCCAGGTAGATGAAACACTATTAATGAACAATGTAATAGTGATGTGTCATGATTATAACTATAATTTTAGAATAACATGATTTATTCATGTAGAGTTTTAATGAGCACTGCTTTCTTTTCCAAAGATGTTATAATTAATGGCTAATGCTATGCCAGCAATGTATTAATCAGTAGTTGAGCAATCTTCCCACTTTTCTCCTTCCCACTGTCCCTGCTTTAGTTGATGGGGTTCATGGTTTCTTGTGTGGAAAATCACAAAAGCATCCTACATGGTCTTTTGCCAACCACAATTCATCTTTCTACTGATTAATTTTTAAATACTTTTAGAGATTTAGGTCTAATTTCTGGACTAGAGTAATTTTAATCTGTCAAAATATGTGACCAGTTTCAGCCTGTAGTGATGATGTACTCTGAATTTCTCAGATCTGCTTCTTTTAAAACAATATGAACATATAAATATATAAATATGTAGATGTATAAAACAATGTTAAATAATTTGTAGAATATAAAAACATTATAAATATACATACATACTTAATATGTACATATTTATGTGTGCATTTATGTCTTTACATAAATATATGCATATACAAAGCAATATAAAAACAACATAAATATGTGTGTCTATATATGTATATGTGTGTGTGTGCGCGTGTGTGTATATATACATATAAATGCAGCTATTTTCAAAATTTCCGAAGAAATTCAACCTTGTTAATTATTAATAAAACCTATAAAATTTAATGTTTCTCATGTTAAAATATCAAGTATATTCATTTATTACTTCTTTGCCACCAAAGTGTAAAGTCAAATTAATCCCCAAAGCAAACAAATAGATTTTTGCTTATACCAAAAAATGTCCCAAAATGTATTCATTTGAAAATTAAGTTATTTAGAAATCTAATATTTATAAGCAACGACTGAACCAATAAATTACCTCAAACGACCTAATACAAAATTGTAGTGTTAAATGCCTTAGTATTTTGGTACCAAACAATCTAATATTAGACTTCCAGAAATGAGTATCATTGGGTCATGAGATAAACCGGAAGAATACATATAAACACATTGGAAATAAAAAGAAACATAATTCAATACATACACCTATTTTAGCTGTGGGTCAGAAATGTTCTCTTTTAATATACATCACAATAAACATTATTGTCTCCTAGACATACATTGAAGTTTTAATGGCAAAATTTAGCTGTCAAGTATTAAGATTTTTCTATGACCAAATTAAAAACACTCTTAGATATCCTTATTATACAACTTTAATAAAATCAAAGTTAACAGTGTTATTGTCCATGTTCCTTTTATTAGAGAAGCATGAAAAAATAATTCACCAAAAGTGTATTAGAAGAAATAATTCTATATGAAGAACAAGACAGAAAGAAAAATAAGGACCCAAAACCCACAGTAACACATAATACACACATACACATTCAATTAATGCACAATCAAATCGACTTGAAAATTCCACTAACTTATAACCATCTGTGCTCTCTGCAGAATGATTAAAGAAAAGAAAGACAAAGATTCAAATGATAAATACATGCAAAAACATATTTTAAGCTATTTTATTTGGTTATTGTATAAGAAAACGATTTTTAAAATGAGATATTTTGAGGATCAAAAAGCCAACATTTTTGCTATATTTAGATGCCAAAATAGACACCTAAATGAAAAGAAAAATATTCTTGACACAAAAATAATATTAAAGTTTAGAGATTCTCTGAACTTAAGCTTACCCCAACAGCTATGACATAATGATATTCCATGTATCAAATGAAATTAGTACAAGATGAGATGACTCTTTCATCACAGCAGGCATACTAGAGTTAAAAAAAAAAAACCTGAATATGGATCAAGGTATTAGGTTTTTAAAGGGCAACTCAGGTAGATAGCAATACAGAAATATTTATATTGACTGAGATTTTAATATACAGTATTATCAAAGGTATTTTTAAGGAATAACATGATTTTAAGAATAAGTTGTTAAATTATTCTTAACATGATTTTAAGAATAAGTTGTTAAATTAGAAAAATATTCCTACTTTTTCTAAAAAGTGTACTTGACTAGATCTAAAGAGATTTATTTAGTCATTTATAATGATTGTTATGTAGAAGATGATTTATAATGATTGTTATGTAGAAGATACAGTGAAAGAAATCCTGCAGTTGCCCTATAATGCACAAATTGTATTTTAAGTAATTCTCTTATGAATGCTCACAACTTCCTGTTCTGATATAAATATCTGCCTTCATTAGAATGCCTCCCTGCCTGTGATAATGTGCTTGGATTTTCTCATGTTTAAATATCATATCAAAACTGAAACCTATTTTCAGTTACATTGTGTATGCCACAATTTCAAGTAAAATATGTAGTATTACTTAGTAGTAACAGTAGTATTACTTAAATTAGAAAATGTGTATTTCTCAAAACAGAAATACATAAAAGACCTTAATTAAAGTACAGCTATTCATTGTTGATTTCTTTCCCAAAGATTAGCCCCATTCTGGCTTCATTGAAAACACATAAAATTACAGCTATAGCTGAATATGTGTGTGTTTATTAAATTAAATAAGTTAATTTTTATTTTATGGGCAAAAAGAAGGTATGGAATATTTTACACAGAAAGCTATGTTTACATTTTAATCTCTTTTTTTAGTTCTAATAGCTTTAGAGCAAATTCTTTAGAATTTTCTATGTATAAGACCATGCTATCTACAAATAGAGATAGTTTTATTGCTTCTTTTCCAATCTGAATGCCTTTTTATTTTTGAATATTAAGTAGAATAGTAAATACATTCCTTTTGCTCATAAAGTAAAAACTAACTTCTTAAATAAACACACACAAGTACTCAGCTGTAGCTACAATTGTATGTATTTTAATATTAAATGCATTATTTTTATGCTTTGATATGTATTGTTTAACATGAGAAAATCCAAGCATGTTATCACAGACATGGAGTTATTCTAATGAAAGCAGATATTTATATCAGAACAGGAAGCTAAACAAGTATTCAGCTAAAGTATGGTAAACACAGAACATACTTTTGTGGCTGGGACCATTTTTCTTAAAGATACATATTATTTAAAAGAACGATTTATTACAGAAATATTTAAGTAGCCTTATAATGTTGTATTGATGTGTATCCATGGACTGGTAAGTTTAAATTTTTTAAATATCAACTTATAAAACCACATGAACATCTCAATAGATGCAGAGAAAGCATCTGACAAAATATAGCACACTCTTATGAAAAGAAGTATTCAAGAAACTAGGAATCAAAGGGAACTTCTTCAACTTAATATAGGGTATCTATGAAAAAACACAGTTAAGATGATACTTAATGATGAAAAACTGGATGCTTTCTCCCTACTAACAGGAACAATACAAGGATACCCACTCTTGCCACCTCTGTTTAACATTGTGCTGGAGGGTCCAGAGAGTGCAATTAAATAATTAATTAATAATTAATTAATTAAATAATTAAACAAAAAAATAAGCATCCAGACTGCAAATGAAGAAATATACTATCTCTGTTTGTAGATGGCATGATCTCGTACATAGAAAATCTTAAAGAATTCACTGGAGAGGTATTAGAACTAATAAATGAGTTTAACAAGACTGCAAGATGCAAGATCAATAAACAAAACTAATAAATTTCCATAAGTAAGGAATGGGCAATCCAAAAATGAAATTAAGAAAACAATTCCATTTACAATGCATTAGGAAATAAAATACCTGGAAATAAATTTAGCAAAAGAAATGCAAGTTTGTATTCTAAAACTCCAAAATATTGTTGAAAGAAAGATCTAAATAATTGAAGAGACATCCCATGGTGATAGATATGAACATATAACTCTGTTGAGATTTCATGCAAAATTGTTTTAATTAATGATAAGCAAATGGCTCTTAGAAAACTTGGAGTATTTTTCTTTTTTTTTTTATTATACTTTAAGTTCTGGGATACATGTGCAGAACATGTAGGTTGCAGCAAACTACCATAGCACGTGTATACTCTGTTGAGATTTCAACAATTTCCAAGTTGATCTACAGATTCAGTGAACTCTCCACCAAGATTTGAGAAAGTTTTTTTGCATAAATTGACAAGCTGATCTTAAAATTCATATGGAAAGTCAATGGACCCAGAATAGCCAAACAAGTCTTGAAAAAGAACAGCTAAAAACTGAGTTGGAAAACTTACAATTTCCTATTTCAAAACTTACAACAAAACTAAAATAATCAGAACAATTTGGAACTGGTCAAGAATAAACATAGGTCAATGGACTACAATAGAAATCCAGAAATAATAGACATAGATCAATAGAATAAAATTGAGAGTCCAGAAATAATAGACATAGATCAATAGAATAAAATGGAGTCTAGAAATAAACCCTTACATTTATGGTCAATTGACTTTCAGCAAGGGTGCTCAGACAATAAAATGGCAAATAATTATCTCTTCAACAAATGGTACAGGGACACTGGATTATTTACATGCAAAAGAAGGAAGTGGACCCCTTCTTCACAACAAACACATTAATTAACTTAAAATGGATCTCAGACCTAATCATAAGATCTAAAACTATAAAATTCTTAAAAGAAAACATATATATGCTTATATATATTTATGATTACTAAATATGTATTTACCTAAATATTATACATTATATATTTTTTGTGTATGTGTATATATGTGTGCATGCATACACACACACACAGACACACACACACATATATAAATGGACTTCCAAAATGAAAAATGTTTGTCCTCCAAAGAACACCAACAAGAATTGAAAAGACAACCCACATAATGGGAGGAATTATTTGCAAATTATATGCACGACAAGGGGCTTTTATCCAAAATATATGAAGAACTCTTACAACTTATTTAAAAAGATAAAAGAAACCCATTAAAAATGGGCAAAGGATCTGATTAGACACTTCTTCAAAGAAGTTATAGAAATAGCCAATTAGCACATGAAAAGATGTTAAATGTCATTAATCATTAGAAAAATGTAATTCAATACTACAGTAAGATTCTGCTTCATGCACACTAAGATAGCTAAAGCAAGAAGACCAATAATAATAATTTTTGGTGAGGATGTGGAGAAACTGGAATGTTTATAAATTTCTGGTGAGAATGTAAAATTGTGCAGCCACTTTGGAAAATAATTTAGCATTCCTTGAAGTATGAAACATAGGGTTACCATACCATGTGCACCAGTAATCACATACATAGGGTATATATAGATATGTCTCAAAATGAAACATATATATTCATACAAAAACTTCTACACATATATTATAGCAGCGTTATTCACAATAGCAAAAAGCAGAAGCAACCCAAATGTCCACCAATTGATAAACAGATGAATAAAATGCAGTGTGTCCATCAATGAAATATTATTTGCCAATAAAAACGAATGAAAATGAAGTTCTGATACATGACATCCTATGGCTAAATCTCGAAAACGTTATGCTTATTCAAAGACACTACTAACAAAAGAGTTGGGGAAATGAGGGTAATAGAGAGGGACTGCAAATAGATATGATGGTTTTCTTTGGAGAGGGTATTGAAAATGTTCTAAAGTTAGATTGTGGTAATGTTTGCACAACTCTGTAAATATACTAAAAAACTATTGAATTGTACACTTTACTTGGGTGAACTAAATGGACTACGAATTGTATCTCAGTGAAGCTATTTTTTTAAAAGTCCATCTCAGATATAGGATTAAGATGGCGGACAGGTGGCAGGACTAGCTTGCAGCACCCACCCGGATAGACAGAGCAGTGTGTGGAGACTCACATCATGAAATTTTGCTCCAAGAACTACTGGAGAGAAAGCTGAGGGAATCCACAGACCCTTTGAAGGGGAACTGGATTGCTGCTGCAGGCTCACTGAGACAGCAAAAAAATGTGGGTGTGCTTGCCTTCTCAACAGGGAGGCTCGTGGTCTGGGGCAAGTTCTCAGCCCTGGTCACCAGCTGCCTGGAAACAGACTTGGTGCTGTTGGGGGTGGGGCACAGTGGGAGTGAGACCAGCCTTTAAGACTGCCATCTGTGTGGGAACGGGATGAGGCCTGTGGCTGCTGGATTTCCCCCACTTCCCTGGCAACCTGCATGACTCAGCAAAGGCAGCCATAACCCCTAGGAACATAATTCCATTTTCCTGGGAACCACATCCTCATCCCCACAGCAGCAAGCCCCAACCAAGGAGAGTCTGAGCTCAGACACACCTATACCCACCCCCATCTGGTGGTCTTTCTCTACCTGCCCTGGTAGCCAAAGACAAAGGTCATAATCTCTTGGGAGCTCTATGGTCCTACCCACCACCTGAGAAATCTGAATACTTAACCAGGCATCCCTAGGGCAAGTTTGCATCCTCCCTGTAACACCACAGCTAATGCGCTCTTGAAAGTGCCACTTGCTGGCTGGACGCCAACCAACATAAAACCAGTGCACTATATGAAAACACAACCAAGGACCCTCACAGAGTCCACTTCACTCCCTTGCTACCTCCACTGGAACAGGTGCTGTTATCCACGGCTGAAAGACCTCAAGATGGGTCACATCACAGGACTCTTTACAGACACTCCCCAGTACCAGCCTGGAGCCCAGTAGCTCCACTGGGTGGCTAGACCCATAAAAGCAAAAACAATCACTGCAGTTCAGCTTTCAAGAAGCCCCATTCCTAGGGGAAGCAGGAGAACACCACATCAAGGGAGCACACCATAGGACAAAAGAATCTGAACAGTAGCCCTTGAGTACCAGATTTCCCTCTGACATAGTCTACCCAAATGAGAAGGAACCACAGAAACAATTCTGGTAATATGACAAGACATGTTTCTTTAACACCCCCAAAAGATCACACCAGCTCACCAGCAATGGATCTAAACCAAGATGAAATCTCTGAATTGCCAGAAAAAGAATTCAGAAAGTCGATTATTAGGCTGATCATGGAGACGCCAGAGAAAAGTGAAGTCTAACTCAAAAAAATCAAAAACATGATACAGGATATGAAGGGAAAAATCTTCAGTGAAATAAATAGCATAAATAAAAAGCTATCACAACTTCTGGAAATCACGGACACACTTAGAGAAATGCAAAATGCACTGGAAAGTCTCAGCAATACAATAAACAAGCAGAAGAAAGAATTTCAGAGCTCGAAGGTAAGGCTTTCAAATTAACCCAGTCCAACAAAGACAAAGAAAAAAGAATATTTAAAAATGAACAAAGCCTCCAAGAAGTTTGGAACTATGTTAAACCTCCAAACCTAAGAATAATTGGTGTTCCTGAGGAAGAAGAGAAATCTAAACATTTGGTAAACATACTTGAGAAAATAATTGAGAAAAACTTCCCCAGCCTTCCTAGAGATCTAGATATCCAAATACAAGAAGCTCAAGGAACATCTGGGAAATTTATTGCAAAAAGATCATCACCTAGTCACATAGTCATCAGATTATCTAAAGTCAAGACAAAGGAAAGGATTTTAAGAGCTGTAAGGCAAAAGCATCAGGTAACCTATAAATGAAAGCCTACCAGATTAACAGCAGATTTCTCAGCAGAAACTCTACAAACTAGAAGGGATTGAGGTCCTATTTTTAGCCACCTTAAGCAAAACTATTATCAGCCAAGAATTTTTTATCCAGTGAAACTAAGCTTCGTAAATGAAGGAAAGATACAGTCTTTTCCAGACAAACAAATGCTGAGAGAATTTGCCACTACCAAACCAGTACTACAAGAACTGCTAAAAGGAGCTCTAAATCTTGAAACAAATCCTTGAAATACACCAAAATAGAACCTCCTTAAATCTCACAAGACCTATACAACAATAACACAATGAAAAAAATAAACCAGGTATTGAGGCAACAAATAGCACAATGGATAGAATAGTACCTCACATCTCAATGCTAATGTTGAATGTAAATGGCCAAAGTGCTCCACTTAAAAAATACAGAATGGCTGAACGGATAAGAATTCGCCAACCAAGTTTCTGCTTTCTTCAGGAGACACACCTAACACATAAGAACTCATATAAACTTAAGGTAAAGGGGTGAAAAAAGATATTCCATGCAAATGGAAACCAAATGCAAGCAAGAGTAGTTATTCTTATATCAGACAAAAAAAACCTTAAAGCAATAGCAGTTAAAAAAGACAAAGAGGGACATTATATAGTGATAAATGGACTAGTTCAACAGGAAAATATCACAATCCTAAATATAGATGCACCTAACACTGGACCTCCAAAATTTATAGAACAATTACTGCTAGACCTAAGAAATGAGATAAACAGAAACACTATTATAGTGGGGGACTTTAATACTCCACTGACAGCACTAGATAGGTCATCAAGACAGAAAGTCAACAAAGAAACAATTAACTTAAACTATACCCTACAACAAATGGACTTAACAGATATTTGCACAACATTCCACCCAACAACTGCAGAATATACATTCTATCCATCAGCACATGGAACATTCTCCAAGATAGATCATATGATAGGCCACAAAACAACTATCAGTAAATTTAAGAAAATCAAAATTATATCAAATACTCTCTCAGGCTGCAGTGGAATGAAATTTGAAATCAACTCCAAAAGGAACCCTCAAAACCACGCAAATACATGCAAATTAAATAACCTGCTCCTGAATGATCATTGGGTCAACAATGAAAGAGGAAAGGTCATAGCATTAAATTCCTTCATCAAAGAGTATTAAAAAGCACAAATGGGCAATCTAAGGTCACATCACACAGAACTTGAGAAACAAGAACAAACCAAACCCCAAACCAGCAGAAGAAAAGAAATGAAGATCAGAGAAGACCTAAATGAAATTGAAACAAACAAAAATATAAAAGATAAATGAAACAAAAAGCTGGTTATTTGAAAAGATAAATAAAATTGATAGACCATTAATGAGATTAACCAAGAAAAGAAGAAAGAAGAACCAAATAAGCTTAATTAGAAATGAAACAGGAGATATTACAACTGATACCACAGAAATACAAAAGATTATTCAAGGCTACTATGAACACCTTTACATGCATACTCTAGGAAACTTAGAGAAGATGGATAAATTCTTGGAAATATACAACCCTCCTAGATTAAACCAGGAAGATATAGAAGCTCTGAACAGACCAATAGCAAGCAGTGATATTGAAATGGTAATTTTTAAAATTGCCAATACAAATAGTCCAGGACCAGACAGATTCACAGCTGAATTCTATCAGACATTCAATGAAGAATTGGTACCCATCCTACTGACACTATTCCAAAAGATAAAGAGGGAATCCTCCCTTAATCATTCTATGAAGTCAATATCACCCTAATACCAAAACCAGGGAAGGACATAACCAAAAAATAAAACTACAGGCCAATATCCCTGATGAACACAGATGCAAAAATCCTCAACATAATACAAGCAAACTGAATCCAACAGCATAACAAAAAGATAGTCCACCATGTCAAGTGGGTTTCATACCAGGGATGCAGGGATAGTTTAACATATCCAAGTCAATAAATGTGATAGATGACATAAGAGGAATTAAAAACAAAAATCACATGATCATCTCCATAGACGCAGGAAAAACATTTGACAAAATCCACCATCTCTTTATGATTAAAACCCTCAGCAAAATCAGCATAGAAGGAACATACCTTAAGGTAATAAAAGCCATCTACTACAAACCCATAGCCAACACACTACTGAATGGGAAAAAATGAAAAGCATTCCCCCTGAGAACTGGCACAAGACAAGGATGCCCATTTTCACCACTTCTATTGAACATAGTACTGGAAGCCCTAACCAGAGCAATCAGACAAGAAAAACAAATAAAGGGCATCCACATCAGTAAAGAGGAAGTCAAAATGTTAGTGTTTGTTGATGGTAAGATCGTATACCTAGAAAACTCTAAAGACTCATCCAAAAAGCTCCTAGAACTAATAAATGGATTCGGTGATGTTTCAGGATACAAAACTCATGTACACAAATCAGTATTTCTCCTATATACCAACAGTGACCAAGCTGAGAATCAAATCAATAACTCAACCCCTTTTATAACAGCTGTAAAGAAAATAAAACACTTAGAAATATACCTAACCAAGAACTTGAAAGACCTCTACAAGGAAAACTACAAAACACTGCTGAAAGAAATCATGGATGACATAAACAAATGGAAACACATCCCAGATGCATGAATGGGTAGAATCAATATTGTGAAAATGACCATACTGTCAAAATCAATGTACAAACTCAATGTAATTCTCATCAAAATACCATCAGCATTCTTCACAGAACTAGAAAAAGGAATCCTAAAATTCATACAGAACCTAAAAAGAGCCTGCATAAGCAAAGCAAGACTAAGCAGAAAGAACAAAACTGGAGGCATCACATTACCCGACTTCAAAAGGTACTACAAGGCCATACTCACCAAAACAGCATGGTACTGGTTTAAAAATAGGCACATAGACCAATGGAACAGAATAGAAAACCTGGAAATAAAGCCAAATACTTACAACCAACTGATCTTCAGCAAAGCAAACAAAAACATAAAGTGAAGAAATGACATCCTATTCAACAAACCGTGCTGGGATAATTGGCAAGCCACATTAGAAGAATGAAACTAGATCCTCATCTCTCACATTATAAAAAAATTAACTCAAGATGGATCAAGGACTTAAATCCAAGATCTGAAACCACAAAAATTCTAGACATTGGGAAAACCCTTCTAGACATTGGCTTAGGCAAAGACTTCATGACCAAGAACCCAAAAGCAAATGCAACAAAAAGATAAATAGATGGGACTTAATTAAACTAAAAAGCTTCTGCACAGCAAAAGAAATAATCAGCAGAGTGAAAAGACAACCCACAGAGTGGGAGAAAATCTTTACAATGTATGCACCAGAAAAAGGACTAATATCCAGAATCTACAAAGAACTCTAACAAATCGATGAGAAGAAAAAACAAAAAACAACAACAACAAAAAACATTCCCATCAAAAAGTGGGATAAGGACATGAATAGATAATTCTCAAAACAAGATATACAAATGGCCAAGAAGCATATGGAAAATTGCTCAACATCACTAATTATCAGGGAAATGCAAATCAAAACCACAATGCAGTGCCACATTACTCCTGCAAGAATGGCCATATCAAAAAATCAAAAAATAATAGATGTTGGCATGGATGTGGTGAAAAGGGAACACTTAACTGTTGATGGGAATGTAAACCAGCACAACCTCTATGAAAAACAGTGTGGAGATTCCTTAAAGAACTAAAAGTATATCTATCATTTGATCCAGCAATCCTACTGCTAGGTATCTGGCCAGATGAAAAGATGCCATTACATGAAAAAGATACTTGCACACGCATGTTTATAGCAGCACAATTTGCAATTGCAAAAATATGGAAGAAGCCCAAATCCCCATCAATCAACGAGTGGATAAAGAAAATGTAGTGTGTGTGTGTGTGTGTGTGTGTGTGTGTGTGTGTGTGTATAAATATAAAATGGAATACTACTCAGCCATAAAAATGAATGAAATAATGTCATTCACAGCAAAGGTACTGGAGATTATTCTAAGTGAAGTACCTCCGGAATAGAATACCAAACATCATATGTTCTCACTCGTAAGTGGGAGATAAGCTATGAGGACACAAATGCATAAGAATTATACATTGGACTTTGGGAACTCTGGGGAAAAGGTGGGAGGGGGTGAGGGATAAAAGACTACCCACTGGGTACAGTGTACACTGCTAGGGTGATGGGTGCACCAAAATCTCAGAAATAAAAAAAAAATAAGTCCATCTCATTATCTTCCCACAAAGAAATATTATGATCACAATGTACCAAACACCAAAAACATAAATCTCAGGGATTTTCCTCAACTATATGAACTTCTTCAGCTGTCCGTATCAAATCCTCTGCAATCTATCTCAGCAATCTCCTTTAAATCAGCCCTACTCTTCTCTATGACCACTGCCCTGCCTTAGTTAAGTAGGTCATGGTTTATTGTGTAAAAAGTTACAGCAGCTTTCCAGCAAGAGCTGCCGCTGGTAACTGCTCTCTCCAAATCAGCAACCCACTGCCTACACACTCGTCTTCCTAAAGCATGTGCTCTTATTGGTACTCCAAAGTTCCCACTATAGCTCTCAGAATTAAGCCCAAATTCTTTAGCACAGATATGAGGTATTTTTCAACCTGACTCCACACAATGTATTAGCCCAATATACCAGCAACTTTCAAACCAACACTTTATACTCAAAGTAATCTTTTAAGCAACTTAATTTGTAGCTTTTCGAACACTGTATGCTCTTTATACCTTGGTAACTTCAAATGATACATCCCTTCATCTTGCGCCTTTCTTGCTTGATTAATGTTTACCTCTCAAGACACACTTTTAAATGCTACCTCTTCTATGCAATCTTCCAGGAGGTCCTTCATGTATATGTATTTAGTGGATCCTTTCTTCTGCTCAGGAAGAATTTTACTTATATCTTTAGTATGGTACTGAGCACTATTGTATTGCTATTCGTTTATACATCTGTCTCCCAAGAGACTGTGAACTTAGTGATGATAACTTTATTCATCTTTGAATTTCCAACCCACCTATTACAACGCTTCTTATATTAGGAAATGCTTATTCGATATTTATAAAATTATGTAATGTATGCAAAAGTAATAAATGTGTGTACATACGTATCTGCTACAGGGTGAATGAGGACATTTAGCACTGAAAAGCAAATTCTCCCAGTGCCTGCCTCACTCCCAAATTCACTACTGCATCCAAATTTAGCATAACATATCAGAGATAGGAGGACCTTTTCCTAGATTAACTTGATAAACTACACTGAAACGATGGTATCTAAGAGCTCTTAAAATTCCAAATTATGCCTAAATATATTCTAACTCACCAGAACTATTTTGCCAATATTGTGTATTAACAAATCATTTGTTAGCAAAAATGAAAAAGTGCTTTCTGTTAGTCATAAAAACATGAGTATCTTCATTTAAAATTTAGTGTACCACTATGATCTAAAATAAAGAAACTATGCTAAATTAAACACTGTTCATCGAGAAATGTAAAAGCTAAATTTGTAGACTCATTGATTTATTATACAGAATCTATGATTTTCCAACAATATGCTCATATGAATTTGTGATAATGCCATAATTTTTTTTGGCAAACATTAGGTGTTTAGCAGATTCATCCTGTCTAATTAGTAGAGATTTCATTATTATGTACATATGTATGTATAGCACCTACAACAAGGCTCTATTTAAATGTTTCTAGACCGTCTCATCAGCCACACTGTTTATCAATCCTGTTCAATGCATTTTAATAGATGTTTTATTTAATTGGAATCACAAAACTAAATCTCCAACTCAGTCTATCTCCTGTAATACTTTACTGTAATTTGTCTTCAAAGCTCTAGAAAAATTCAATTGAAACATCAACAATAAATATATGGCATAGATACCAAGATACGTTATGCTTTTAATAAAGATAATGAAATAAATAGCTAAAAATATGTAAGACTTTTAGTAAAATTCTAGTTTAAAATGATAATTTTAAGTACTACGAAAATATTTAAAATTCTAAATAATAACTATCAGATGCATTAATTAGTATTTGACTATAAGTGCACAATGTGTCTAATCTCTAAAATTAAAATAGGTGTAACATGATGATGGAAATTAATAATTACAAGGCTAACTTCTTCTAAAGATTTTGGAGTGACTAGTGAAAAAAATATTTTGTAAGTATCCAAGTGAAAAAATAAAATTTACCATGCCTTACATAAGAACCAAACAAAAATAACAAAGCATAAATCTAAAAAAAAATTTGTATATTTTGTGCATGACAATACAAATTCAGCTTATTAAATTAGAATAATTCAGAACACTTATCTTAGAAATATGTTAGGAATTTCTCACTTTTTCTCCTATTGTGATCATCAAGTAAATAAAGGGAATCAAAAGTTTCACAAACTATATAATTCAAAATTATAAGAAAAACTACACAGTCACACACTTGGAGTGACAAAACTCTTGATGTCTTTACACGTCCTGGGTCAATAATTCAACTTTATTTAAAATAATACAAAGAATATAAACCTTCTCACCATGGTCTTAAATGTCATTCAAATGGGAAATATACATACCTGCCCACACCAACCATATTCCAGCATTGTAGAGTTGGAGAATATAAGGCTTTTTCAAGATTCTAAATATTAGTGTAAAAGCTGTTGATTCATTCAGAAGAAATCTGCTATTCTCCTTCTTCAAAGAGTGGTTACCAACTACAAGTTCTTACTTGGCCATCAATACTGCCACAATCCAAGCTTTGTTGTAATGTTGTACTCTTACAGCTAAAACCTGTTGATAATGAACCTGAACCCATTATTTTGAGTCAATGAATTGAAAGAAATAGGGCAAAGAATGAAAGCCACAGGGCCAATTACGAACATTCTTTGATGTATTACTTGCTAGCACCCACCATATCACTTTGTGTCTTTGTCTTGATCCCCTCTGTTACTCATTAATTATTCTGGAAGGGTTAAAGTTCAGAGAGCTAATTGCACAAACCGTCTTTCTTGGTAGGGATTCTCCTACTCTGACACTTTCCCCAACTGTGCCCAGCCACCTTGTATTATGCCAATTAACCCAATTCTTGGCATTTTTGCTTGGCCTTCCAGCATCTTTTCAAGCTTTGCCTAAAATATTTTCACTAGTTTGCCTACAGAATAAACCAACACAACTTTAAGGTTTTATTCGAATTTATTTCATGATATAATCTTTCCTAAACTCCTAATAGTACAACTAACTTTATTCTGCACTAATTATATCATAAACACAACTTTATAACAAATAAAAATATTTTAACTAGCTAGTTGCTGAAGACTTACAATACTAAATTATTCATTCTACCTTTCTACACTGAGTCCGAGCTCGTTCTAATAAAAATGACTTTTTCCACATTTGTTAGCCAAGATCTGAACAGAAAAGATGCAATTTTTATATGGCACATTGGGTAGATTTTCATAATTTATAGACTAACTCCAATATTACCAGGATATTTATGAGGCTACATAGTTTCTGAAAAGTTTCTAATATTTGATTATTATTAGAATTCTGAAATAAAATTTGAAAAATAAATAATCATGTACTGTAATGCTTCCTGGGATATGTCACATCATCCCTTATTTTTCTATGTTTTTCAAAATCTTTTAAAAATCCTTTGTTTTTCTATGTATTTCAGTTTCAGTGGTATCCAGTAATTGTTTGAAGGCATCTTTTTCAGAGGTAGGCACTAATTAATAACTATGTTTATTTTCAGTTATTGCAGTTATATTTGTATCAATTAGTAATTTTTGAGCAACTACTGTATATCACACATTTGCTGGCTGCTGTGACTAACGTGTGCATTTATCAACTTCGGGCTAATGGAGATGTCAGAAGACCAACATATAAATAAACACAATATAAGTACTTAGGAACAGGAGATAGCTTGAAGAAAGAGAAAACGTATAGGACCATCAACTTAAAGAATAAAAAGGAGCCAGTCATGCAAAGAGCAGGGCAGAAGGAACAGCATATGCAAAGTCTTATTAGAAGTAAGCTTGCTGGGCTTGAGGAGCTGAATTAAGGCCAGTTTGCAATCTAGTGAAAGGCAGACAAATGGCTTGGGACTAGATTAGAAAGATAGATAGAAACCAGATCATGCAGAATGTTTTAGACTATGAAAAGGAGTTATATTTTATTTAAGGAACAATGCATCTGATGTGATTGATTTTTGTACTACTGAGAATGTGTCAAAGAGTTTTTAAACCAAGAGAGAAGTGAAGCGGGGATCAGCTTTTAAATAGAAATCCCATAAATCTTATCATCTTTTTCTATGGTAGAGAGAGTTCTTTGCACATACCCATAAAACTTCGCTTAAAATGAAATTTATAGAACGGGTTTGACCAAATGGATTGTATTTGTTAATTTCCATTAAACAGATACTAAAATCCCATACTCCACAAAGCAACTGTGTCAAAAGAACATGCCAATAAATTCATGGCTTGGATGAAAATATGTTTAAAAGTCCAAAGTATAAAATTATTGAATAAGATTTTTTAAGTTTGTTTATAGATTTCATTAAATGTCACAAGAATAAAATGAGTCCAAAATGAAGCTAAAATGAAATTATTACCTCCACTGAGGTCAGAGCAATCAGTCAGCTAAAGTTACATAGATTTCACCTTTAGCTGGAACTGTGTGTAAAATGTATTTGGTTAATTCATTCACAGTGTTATCCATGACAGAACTTTTCAGATTGACCTTTTGATAAAGCTAACACAAAAATAACCAACCATGATTCCAAAGTTATTAAATGTATCCTTTTAACCTCTCTTTCATAAGATTCTCTAACATTAACATTAGGGTGGCAAAAAATAGTTCCATGAATTAATTGACTCTTACATAACCACTGTAAAATATATCTTTCAGAGCCTGTGGTTGTCTATTCCTCATTTTTAGAATGCCATTTATTCTTTTTTTAATTTAATTTCTTTCACACATGATTTATTGAGATATTAAGCTACTTTTCCTAATGAAAATTAAAGGTAAATGATAATTTTTAAAAAGTATTTTCATTCTAATGATTTCCCTCAACTCAAATTTACATATTCGAAATAAAGAGGGGCACTTTAGATTGATGCTTAGCCTCCCAGAATTCACTCCAATCCCCTTCCTCTTCCCACACCCAGTTTGTCAAACTAAATATTCATCCCTGTCTGTTTCCAGTTAGTCAATAATGAACACTTTCTTAAAATAATACCATATTTAGGACCAAAGAATGTGAGAAAAGCCAACTCCAAATAACCATTCAATTGTTCTTATCCTCATTATCAACTGTGCAATTGAGTTACAATTTAATGTTTGATGCATACATGTGTGGCATAAAGATCAAATCAGGATATTTAGGTGTGTGAGGTGTGACCACGAGTGATGAGGTGATGGATATGCTAAATTTATTATTTTAGGATATCGAATGCTTCTTTATGAGTACCCCCCCACTGTTTTCCAAGCTGTAATGCTATAAGACACCACATTTACCCCCACTGAATTGTTAGCAAATGCAAAGTGACAATATGAATACTTGGAGTTGGATCTTACCTCCAGGGATCAGATTCTAAAAGAATGGTAACTCAGCACTTGACAGGAAAGAGAGAAAGCAGAATATTCTGCCAAGTCATGATTTAAAACTCTTTTCCACTATTTGTAAACTACTAGTAAACAGCTTATACTTAAATAGAATGGAAATTGTATAATTATGCAATTTCTACTCCCACATATGTTTTTACATTTTCTACGAGATTATTCTTTCAACATATTCCCTACTGGAACTATGGATGTGATAGTTCTAAATCCAGCAAATGTTGTAAAATAAGTGAAGTGACATCATTAGCGCAGCAGCACAATAATGGAGTTATTTTCCACTGGTAAAATTCATTATCTCTGTGGCTTAGTCTCCCACAATTTAAACCATTACAAGGAATTTCATGGCAAAACTGTTCGGTGCATGAATTACAATTGATTAGAGATCAGGGGAGGGACAACATCTCAGCCAATGTTAAAAACTTCCAACTAAGCCTAAATGCCACACCCTGGGATGCAGAATTTTACCCCAATGAAACTGGGCTTAAAATACATTTATTTGGAATAAACTATATAAAAAACTCTTAAATATTTTACTAGAGCATTTCATATATTAAATGAAGTGCTTTGTCTTCTAAGGGACTGTTACAGGTGAAAATTAAGAAATAAAAATTATCACATTTAATATTTAGGCCCTTCAAAATATACATTTTATTAAAATAGAATGTCTAGGATACTGAGAATATTGTCCAGTGTTGCCTATATTATGTCTATTCTACTCTCCATATCTAAACAGAAAATGTGTGTAATAGACAACCACTGTTTCATAATCCTTTACTACTTCTCCAAAATGCACAGGCTTTCACCCATAAGCTGTTAAGATTACTCACAAACTGAACTTCAAATATTATAAATCCTTTTCTACAAATTCTGTACTCAGCTAATTAAAGTGCTACATTCCATTGTTCATTGTTTTAACATCACCTTTGCCAGGCTAGCAATGGTTTCAGGGATAAGGGAGATGGAAGGTATCTTTGAGAACAATTTAAATTCTTTCCCAATAGGAGAAAGAAAGAAAAAAACCTACTATTAATGAAAAAGGAAAAATTTCCAACTTGTAATTAAATAGCTCCAGCAACAGGGATCTCAAACCCATTCTGTTGTTGCATTAATGTCAGAGCCAAAAGGCTTACTTTTAATCTAAAACTGTAGACTACCACATTCTAACTCCTACATGTTAACTTCTGTTAGTAATTCTTCCTTCTGGAATAATGTGAAATAGTATTATTCTTGCCATATAACAATCTTTCAGAAAATACTTGTTATCACAATTCCCTGTAAGTCCATCTCTGAGATAAATATACAGCATACTCCTTCAACATTCTTTATAGGACTTTGCTGTCATGATTCTCATGATCTCTCCTGTTACACCTACTATTTCCTGTGCCTAGAGTACTTTTTCCTTGCCCCCTACTACTCCAGTCTTTTCTCATTCATCAGCCTAGGGGATAACTTGCTTGGGGAAGCATTCTCTAACCTTCTCAAAGAGTGGATTGGACAACCACCCATCCCCACTCCTCGTTACTATAGAACTCTGTGCTGACCCCTACTGCAGAACTTTTCATTATTTACTGTAATTCTCTTTTCATTGTCTTTCCAATTAGACTGTCAACTCTCTGATAAGAGGAACTGCCTTAATCACTGACACGTCTCTAAAACTGAGTACATGGTAGTAGTCGGCTAAATATTTGCGATAATTAGAAAATCAAAGAATGAGACAGGATGGTGACCATCTGTGTTCCTCAGTTTCTTTATACATAAACTGGGAATGAAAACAGTATTCACCTCTCAGGGTGGTTGTATTGGTCAATTGAGTCAATATATTTTTTAAAAAACCTATTTAAAAAGCATCTAGCAGATAAGAAGGTTTTTTAAATCTTAGTCATTATTTTTTATGATTAAAACTCATCTCTTTTTTATATAAGCTAATGTTAAATTATGTCTACCCATTTTTGTACTTATGATTAGGTTTTTTAACATAAATGAGAAGCTTAACATTCACATTTGTTCCTTTTCATCTTAATTCTTCCTGATAACTGAAATATATATGTACTTAATATTATCATCTAAGTTATATATAATATACCCGCAGAGCACACACATACACATAAACACACACACACATATATACACAGATGTGGGCAGAGAGGGAAGGAAAAATGAGACAGACAGGGAAATTTACTGAGTGAGTACAAGGACTATGGACACAATTGACCTTGGGTTCAAGACTCAGTTCATGAACTTTATGCAAACTTGGACAAGTTGCTTACTCCCTCCTATTATTAATCTCCTTGTGTATGGAGGTTCACCCAACCATCAATTCACTACAGTCCATTATCACCATGCCACTGTTTCATTATTACTTAGCATGTACTTGTTTAAATCTATAGCAACTAGAAGTAATCTCAATCCTCTGAACCTGTACCTACTCCATACTGTTTATCACAGAAAAGCATAGAATATATCTGATTATATAGAATAGTGAGTATCATATGTCAGCTTGAAAATATGGTCCATAAAAGGTAGCAAAGAACCTTGGAAAAATAGGAAGTGTATAGATTATTTAAGGAACACAAGGATGAATAAAGTACACTTAATTGGAAGAGTAGCCAATGAAAGATTTTTAGTGGAAGAATGACAAAATTGGAGATCTACCTCAGGAGTGTAATGTGTCACATTGTGAAAGATGATTGGAAGAGGCTGACTCTTGACCAGGAGACCATTAAAAAGTTTTTGTATTGGCCGGAACAAGAGGTTTACCAAGAGTGCTTGCCAAATGACTAAGTATAAATCACTGCCATTGGCATAGATGGGAATTCAATCATGAAATATGCACTGGTCTTACAGGCTAGAAACACATAAGCAAGTGAACTTAAGAATGTAAGTATATATATGTATATATAAAACCTCTCATATAAGGCAGCTTGCTTCCACCCAAAATATAAATTCAACTGATGATTTAGAAGATGAGATATTAATTCCCACTGAGGGTGCAAAAGACAAAGGAAAGTATCTCTGGAGAAATACTATTGAAACTGGGCTTTGAGGACAGGTAAATGTTAATTAACCACTAGCTATGGGGGAAGGATGCACATGAATAAAAACGTATGGAAATTCTGGTTTTGAAACAAAGAAGTCAACTTTTTTTCTCTGTCCATCTAGCCAGTATCCCTGGAACTTCCCTTCTGTCCAAAGGCCCAGGGTGTCAAGGTTTGGATCACATAAATTCTGTCTTCTGGGAAGAGATGCCTAACCTCACAGTGAGGCAGAAGAAAGGGTCTGAAGGCAGGGGACCTAAGGCCATTTCACACTGACTTCCTAGAATGGAATTGAAAGGAAAACCCTAACTTTCCATGCCTAAGTAACAAAAGGACAAGAGACTACCTTTGCAAATCCCCACGTTTTTCTGCCCAGCAGATGAGAAATTGAAAGTACTTCTGATTGGTTGATTTTTGCAACCAATTAGACGTTTGCATAGGAGTGTGACCTTTGTAACTTCACTTCAGCCTCTGGTTGGTTTCTTTCTGCAACCAATTAGACTGATTGCGGGCCACCAATTCATTTACATGAGGTGAGCACCAAGTGGCCCATGGGAAATCTCTAGGGGGCATTTGGACCTGAGAAGATTCTGTATCTGGGCCCTTGAGCTCCTATGCTCGGCCTGCTCCCACACTGTGGAGTGTACTTTCATTTTCAGTAAATCTCTGCTTTTGTTACTTCATTCTTTCCTTGCTTTGTTTGTGCATTTTGTCCAATTCTTCATTCGAGACGCCAAGAACCCGGACACCCTCCACTGGTAACAAGAGGACCTACAGTATGGCTTCTCCCAGATGTGTCAAACTATCACACAGACTGGCAACTGCTCTCCAAAATGAGGTCCCGTCACTTAGGTGAAAGTAGAAAATACTAGAATGGTTACCACTTCTTTTTTTCCTAAAACTAAAATATAAGATTATATTTTATCTGAAAATATATTAGTTCAAGGTTGAAGTAAAAATTTTACAATCTAATAAGACATAGATACTTTGCACGTGCTCAAAAATGTTTACCGATAGAGTTATGTGATGGTAAAAAATGAGTTCATGTCCTTTGCAGGGACATGAATGAAGCTGTAAACCATTATTCTCAACAAACTAACACAGGAACAGAAAACCAAACACCACATGTTGTCACTCATAAGTTGGAGTTGAACAATGAGAACATAGGGCACAGGGAGGGGAACATCACACACCAGGGCCTGTCGGGGGTGGGGGGCAAGGGGAGGGATAGCATCAGGAGAAGTACCTAATGTAGATGACAGGTTGATGGGTGCAGCAAACCATCATGGCACATGTGTACCTATGTAACAAACCTGCACGTTCTGCGCATGTATCCCAGAACTTAAGTATAATAAAAAAAGGAAAAAAAAATTATGCTAGAGATCTGAACTGTAGACTTAAAAGAGAATACACAAGAAATACTTTTTCTTCTAATTCCTTATGCATAAAACTTCTTCAGGGAAATTGGTAATATAATTCAGAATTGTATGAAGAACATTGAATAATAGAGCATTAGCATCTAGTGTTCTCTTTCCTCATTTAGCTTTTTTAAAGTGTCATTTAGCTTTCAATTGTTGCAAGTACTATTAAACAATGTAAAATCCTAAATAAAAGTAAATGTGTAAATAGTGAAACAACTTGTTAATGTTGCCTTTCCCTTAGAAGTTTACAATTGTGTTTTCCTTCAGTGTGCTTCTCCCTCAGCTAGGTCATCACTAACAGAAAAGCAATCTTAATACAGGCAATTCATAAACATCTGTAATATGTCCCCACCATTAGAAAATCAACATTTTTACAAGATGTTTCCGTAAGAGAATAAAACTAGAGACTCAAGACCCTATATAAACAAAGATATTTGGCTTCCAAATAGATGTCAAAATTGAGTCAATTATACTCTAGATGGAGAAACATCTCTAATAAAATTTTTAAATAAATAAAAATAACAAGAACTCAAATTTCTTAACCCAATTTACAGAATCATTCAAGGCTGAAAATGTGCATTGTTCTAAATTCTTCTTTTTATAAACATGTGCTTAGTTGTATAGAAAAAAAGATTATCCATTTGCAAATGCCATGCCAAAAACAATTTGATAATTACGCTAAAAAAAAAAGGAAAAAGAAGTAGTAAGATATATATACTATTCATCCCCTTTAACCATTAAACTAAAATGGCCAAACTGAATCTCTCAAACAAAATAGCTTCTGGGCTAGAATCTTAATGCCAACTTTAGCCCAGAGCAAATTCTTACAGTGACGATGTTTGCTCTGCAAAATGCCATTTTAATGGAAACACTGTCCGACCTTTGTCTCCAGTAAAGCTACTAGATCTCCCATAAAGACATAATTTAAACTTCCAAATATAGGGACCTTTTTTACCTATTAATTGTCCTTTCAGAGATCAGATCTTATCCCAGTGTCTCCAGTGAATTCCCCTGTGAACTCGAAAGCACTTTCACATTGCCCTAAGGTTCAAGTGGAAAGAATAAATGGCAGGAGTTAGATATTACTGTTTGGTTCTTATGCATCTATTACTTTAATACTAGTTACAACTTGAAGTTCAACTAACTGACAAAGCCTGAAGACTCCATTTGATTAGCTGTAATAGGACTGTAACACTGCTTTGGAACAGCAGACTTAAATAGACAAAAATCTTTGCAAATACATCTTTCGTGTATTCCATTAATTCTAAAATAAATATGTTACCTGAGGCAAAATAAGTATAATCAGATATTTTAGTATTTTACATTTCAGTGGAAGTATTTTTGTTCCATTATGATGACATTTTAACACTCAATGTTTAAGAAGGAAGTTTAATATGTATGTGTACATGAATTAAACTTTTACTGAACATACCCTTCTTTTGATGTTGTTCTAACAGACTTAAAATCAGGCTATGGTTAAAGGAGATGCTCACCACATTAATACATTTAATTAATTTGTTTGGGCATTCTCCACCAACTACACAAGGCATATTTCTGAGATGTTTATTACTGCTCTCTTTACCCATATCAGGGGTGAAAAAGTAGAAAATGTGGGTCACCTCGATAGTCACTGAGTAGTTAACCACTTGCCAGATTAGATCTCTAATCCTATGTCCAGAAAATATACTATGGAAGCGAGTCTGACCATTACTTTAGGACTAGACACTTCCATAGGCTCTACAACAAAATACAAGTTAAATTAACAAAAGGCCCCAATAAGTGCCCTTACAACAATTTAAACCAGTTTAAAGGAAGCATAGATTAATAATTTTTTACAAAGGTGAAGGGACTTGCATCTCTTTCATTGTTTCATTTATCCAACCAATTAACATTTACTGAGTACCTATTGAGTTAATACATCAGCAGACTGAGTACTTTGAAATTTCAAAGTAAGTAGTAGACTTGGGCCTTGTCCTCACGGGAAAATCTCTAGTAAGAAGACGTGACATCCATGAAACCATGGTAAGACACGTGAACTCTGCAATGTGGTCCATAGAATATATATGTTTGAAAAATGGAAACCAAAAGAAAAATCTACAGGTACAATTCTTAGATGAGCCCTTTATTTTAAAAACGAGAACAAATATTTCAAGGGCACACATATGAGAAAGAAGGATCATAAAGGCACAGGACAACAAAATGGGCAAGAAAAGACCCTTTCTTTTCAGAAAGAAAAGAAAAGCATTTCAGAAAGAAAAACTGAAAATGCAAAATTTGAGGCTTTGACTTCTGAATATTAGACGTATATGCTCCACAATTTAATATATGACTAACCTGTTAAATGGCTTTAGCGTGGGTCTGATTTTGTTTCTTCTTTCTTTTTTTGTTTAATTTTATCACTTTTTCACTGTGCTCTTACCAAATGCATATTCTCTGTGTCACTTCATATTCCATATTTTACATCTGCTATGCCAAAAATAATCTCTAACTTTTTTATAGACAAATCCCTGTCTTCTCTGCAAATATTATGACATCATTGATTTCCAAAGTTCCGATAGGGAAAGCAAGATCAAAGTGTATGTTAGGAAAATATATTCATAGGTGGATATACCTTGGGGGAAATGCAAGCTCTAAAAGTTAGTATAGACATAACCTGACCCACCAAAAAATCAGTAACAGAAATGTGGTAATGTTCACTTGTCTTACCTTCCTGAGATATAAACTTTTTAAGGCGGTTTGCAAAACTTTTGTGCATAAGGTTTTGGTGATTTTCCTTCATTTTCCATTTTCCCCAGGCTGCACAAATTTGAAAGAACTTATAAAAGTGAGTCGAATTTACAAAAACAAAACCACAAGAAGAAATTGAAAGTAGGCAGGACAAGTATAGAAACCACTGAAACAGATTGGACACCAACAGAATAACATATGAGGTAGTTTTAAATACATTAAGGAGGGAGAAAAGGACATAAATAATCTTGATTCCTGAGTGTGAGATCATAAACACTACAGAGAATTTGCCTCCAGCACCTGGTAACCTGAACAATGTTATAAAAGTCAGAATTGGTTTGAAGTCAGATGCATAAGACCAACAGCTGTTAATGTGATTACTTTTTTCTCATTATGTTTAGGTCTAGACTAGACTTCAGGTTTTAGTTTTTCGTAAGTACTACCATGTAATGACAAATGTATTTAAAATTTTAAAATAAGAATACATTTTGGCCAGGCGTGGTGGCTCACGCCTGTAATCCCAGCACTTTGGGAGGCTGAGACAGGCGGACCACAAGGTCAGGAGATCGAGACCATCCTGGCTAATATGATGAAATCCCGTCTCTACCAAAAATGCAAAAAATTAGCCAGGCGTGGTGGCATGTGCCTGTGGTCCCAGCTACTTGGGAGGCTGAGGCAGGAGAATTGCTTGAACCTGGGAGGCTGAGGTTGCAGTGACCTCAGATTGAGCCACTGCACTCCCGCCTGGGTGACAGAGAAAGACTCCGTTTCAAACAAAACAAAACAAAATAAAAACAAACAAACAAAAAACAACAACAAAAAAAACAGAGTACATTGAGATATAGTAGTCTTACAGATGGTCCAACTTACAAATGGCTTTTCTTTGTTCTTATTTCTTATTCAGTGGTCAATTTATTGTTCAATGTTATAATAGCACCAGTATTATGGAATGAGCTCAGCACAGGTAACCTTTATGCTGTAAATTGAAGTTAAATTGCTAAGTCTCATTCGATGTTAATTAAACTTACAATCACTGATTTTATATAACACATTGTGCTTTAAATATATATGCCTGGGATATTCAGCAGATGAACTGCTACTTATAGATACTAATAATGAGGATGTTGTTGGTTATTTTTTCAACTTTAATTAACAAGCGTAATACCCACTTGCAAAAGCATCATTAAAATGGTATCCAAGATTTACAAAATTTATAATACAGGGCTGCTTACTTAATATCCCTTTCATGGTTTGACCTTTTCAGAATGTAGTCTAATATTTGGCCATAAAACCACTGAATTTTCAAAACTTTTTTGCCTTAACTCACCTTAAATCCTATTTTTTTCATAAAGTTTTTCTGTTTTATTGAAAACATAAAGCACTTCTAGTTATGCAACTATACTAATTGCAAAAACAAAACAAAAGTGTGTGTGTTTAGGGGTACAGGCATGCATGAGTGAAAAGGTGACATTGTAGCAAATGTGCTAGCATGCATGTGTGGACACATACACACATACACATATACATACACACATACACATATACATACACACATATCCAAACCCCAAAGCTTCATATGCAATATCCAATATATGTGACTAATACAAATGCTGTAGACTATGGTCCTATCACTAAGACTTTACTGTGATGTACCCTGAAACTATCGTCAGTTCCCCTTTCCTCCTTTTACTACCAAAGTAGCCTTTTATATTTTGAACTCACTCATTAATATGTTGTAATCTGGCTTCTGTTCCCAAATCTTTTTGAAACTATGACACTTTCAAAGGTCAGCTATGATCACCTCAGTTCAATGACCTTTAGGGATTCTACGTTTCCTTTTATTTTTTTTTCTACTGCATCTGGAGGAGCTCTCTTTCTTGAATATCTCTTGCTTTGCCCTCTATCATATCACACTACTTTTTTTCTCATCCACTACTCTCAACCCTTCCTCTCTTCCCTCCTAATCATGAGTGTATTCCAAGATTCTATCCTTTGCTTATTATCCTTCTTTGTCTTGGCTTCATCTGTTGCCTTTGCAACTAACTGCCACATCTGTGCATTAGATGTGTTTCCTCTTCTAAAGTCTAATCCAAATCCAGTACTAACTACTTACTACCACTTTTCCATTGTAATCTTGAACTTAATACGTCTTAAATATAACTTTGTATTTCCCTTTATTGACTAAATCCTTCTTCTTCAACAACTCTTACAGGACTTTTTCCCAGATACTTTGACTAAGATTTCTACTGTCTTATGGGCTCAGCCAACATCAACACTCCCCGCTCCACACACACACATAAACACACACACCCCTATAACTACTTGTCTTGCCTTCCTGAGATATAAAATTTTAAGGGTGGTTTCTTTATAAAATCTCTGACTGTTGCTTCACTTTTGTATTGCTATTACCTTCATACTTGTCAAATAGTCTCATATTTTAAATGAGCATAATCTGTCCTTAATGTCGTTTTCATTTGGTGACGAAATTAAACTGTATTTCTCTCTCCAAAAATAAAACAAAAGAAAAAAGGAAGGTTGGAGCAGGTGGATCCTTGACAATATGTGGTATTTTCATTGTTTTGGATTTTAGCCATTCTAATATGTGTATAGTAGAATCTCACTGTCATATTAATTTGCAACTTCTCCATGACATATGATACTGAGAGTCCTCTTACTATGCGTTTTTTTTTTCCACTTGTATATCTTCTTTTGTAAAGTATCTGTCCCGATATTTTGTGCATTTTAAACTGGGTTGTTTTCTTATTCTTGAGTTTTGACAGTTCTTTTTTCATGAGCTTGTAAAGTCATGTTTGATGATTTAAGCAAATATTACAATGCCTTCTGATGTGTGCTCAAAGTATTTAGACAAACTAATATTATAAATAGAAAGTGGGCAAGATAGGCTGGGCGCTGTGGCTCACGCCTGTAATCCCAGCACTTTGGGAGGCCGAAGAGGGCAGATCACGAAGTCAGGAAATCGAGAACATCCTGGCCATCATGGTGAAACCCCATCTCTACTAAAAATACAAAAATTAGCTGAGCGTGGTGCCGCATGCCTGTAATCCCAGCTACTCGGGAGGCTGAGGCAGGAGAATCGCTCGAACCAGGGAGTCGGAGGTTGCAGTGAGCTGAGATTGCACCACTACACTCCAGCCTGGCGACAGAGCGACACTCTGTTTCAAAAAAAAAAAAGAAAGAAAGAAAGAAAAAAGAAAGTGGGCAGGATAAAAGAATCTGAATATAAATCAATTTTCTATACTTTACGCAAAGTGGTAAAATGTCAATACAGGAGACTATGAAGTATGTAGACCGTGACAGTAGACATATGTATACAGTAGTCCCCCTTTATCCATGGGAGGATATGTTCTAAGACCCCCAGTAGCTGCCTGAAACTGCATTAGTACTGAACTCTACATTTACTATGTTTTCTCCTATATAGACATGTCTATGATAAATTTTAATTTACAAATTAGCTTCAGTCAGATATTAACAACAACATAATAAAATAGAACAATTATAACAATATGCCAACATCAATATTCTTGCATTTTTGGGCCATTATTAAGTAAAATAAGGGTGACTTGGACACAAGCAGTGTGAGACAGCAAAAGTTAATCTGATAACGAAAATGGCTACTAAGTGACTAACAGGAAGTAGCTTTTATAGTGTGGCGATGCAGGACAAAGGGATGATTCATATTCCACAGGGGACAGAGAAGGAAGGTGTGTGATCTCATCACACTCCTCAGAATGGAGCACAATTCAAACCTGTGAATTGTTTATTTCTGGAATTTTGTATTTGATATTTTTAAACCACGGTTAACCATGGATAACCGAAAACAGCACAAACAAAACTGTGAATAAAGGAAGATTATTGTGCTGTAATACCCAGAGCAACCACTAAAAAACAAAACAAAACAAAACTATCCAATGATATGGACTCAGAAATAGTGTAAATAAATCAAAATGAAACTCTGAAAAATGTTTAAATTATCTACAGTAAGGACAGAAAAGGGAAATCAAAGAATGAGAAACAGAGTGAGTGAACAAACAATAAATACATAAACTGACAGACTTAACTCTTCACATATCAATAGTTATACTAACTGTAACTGATCTAAACATATCAATCAAAAGATAGAGATTAGCAAGGTGGATAAAAACATGACCAAAATTATAAGAAACTTGCTAAAAACATGATAATATAAGCAAATTGAGTGGACAGAAAAAGATATACTATGCAAACATTAACTTTTTTTTTCTTTTTTTTGAGACGGAGTCTCACTCTGCTGCATAGGCTGGAGTGCAGTGTCACGATCTCGGCTCACTGCAACCTCCCTCTCCCGGGTGCAAGCGATTCTCCTGCCTCAGTCTCCCGAGTAGCTAGGACTACAGGCGTGCACCACCACGCCCAGCTAATTTTTCTATTTTAGTAGAGATGGGGTTTCACTGTGTTGCCTAGACTGGTCTCGGCGTGAACCACTGCGCCCAGCCGCAACCAAGAATAACTGTATTAGTATCACATAAAATAGACTTCTGAGCAAAAAGACTTAAGCAGAAACAAAGAAGGCTATTACATAATAGTGAAAGGGTGAATCCACCAAGAACACCTAGTCATCCTACTGTACATGCACCAAACAACAGTTCATCAACATATATAGAAGGAAAACTGAGAGAACTGAAAGAAAAATAGACAAATCCACAATTTTAGTTAGCGATTTTAATACCCTATAACTGTTAAAGTAACTGATCTTAAATTTGAAAACAATAAATTAATCTTTAGGCCCAGATGACCAAACATTAACTAAGAATTGGCACCAATTACACAGAATCTCTTTCAGAAAATATCATTTAAATGAATACTTCCCAACTTATGTTATGAGATCAGCATCACCTTGATACCAAAACCAGACAAAAACAAAAGCAAGAAGGAAAAGAAGAAAGAAAGAGAGAGGAAGAAAAGGAAGGAAGGAAGGAAGGAAGGAAGGAAGGAAGGAAGGAAGGAAGGAAGGAAGGAAAAGAAAATTACAGATCAATATCTTTCATAGATTTAGAAGCAAAAGTCTTCAGCAAAATACTGGCAAATTGAATCTAGCAATGTATAAAAAGAGTTCTTACATGATACCAAAAGCACAATCCATAAAATAAATATTCATTAAATTGGACTTTATCAAAATTAAAATGTTTTTCTCTGTGAAAGATCTTGTTAAAAGGATGAAAAGATAGATAGGGAATAAATATTGGCAAACCACATGTCCTACAAAGAATCGGTATCAAAAATATGTAGAGAGAAAAACTGATCAAGTAAGGAATTCGTTTCACTGATCTTTACATTTTCTACACAGTTCTCTTCTCTTGCAGATTTACAGGATTTAGCACAAGATTCTAGTAATGACTGCACCATGTTAAATAATTAGGAAAGTAAGGTTCTGCTAACTGGTAATCCTGAATAGCAATATGTGGTAGATTTTTACAGTTAGGGTACCCAATGAATCACACCTCCCTCTATCCACTCCATTATGCAGTCTTCTCCCACGGCGACTCTAGAGTTAGCCATGATGATTTGGCTGAAGGGACAACATACAAGTAGAAGTTTAAAATAACTTCCACATTACGACCAGTCCCCTTTCTTCTTGCTTTTAGATCCACATATGAAGAAGCCAAACCATACTGCTAGAGACACACGGCTCAGCCAACAGTCATCAGTCAGTCTCAAACAAGACTTTTGAGTGAAGCTGTCTTAAAATATCAATCTCCAGGACACTCACCCAACAAGATGCAGAATGGAAGCAAGCGAATGAACCTAGCCCATATTGCTAACCCAGAGAATCATGAAGAAGTAACATAGTTGTTTTAGGTCACTGATTTTCATAGTAGTTGGTATTGCAACAATGCGTAACTAATACAGCATATTATTACTAAATGTTTAAATTGTACTTAAATATAAGCCAAAATAAATGGGTTAATCCAATTGTGTAGTTGAGTGCTTTCATTTCAACCTTTATTTTAAAAGCCTTTCATAATGATTCTAACTTTTTTAAAATCTGAAGTGTTTATGATGTTCTGAGTGTTTTGGAAGAGATTAACAGCATCAATGTAGATGGTATGGGAAATTGAATTTATACAGAACCTAATTTGTATATTGTATTTTTAATTTACCAATACTGACTATAGCTCCAATTTCTGCCTGCCTTTGTAATATCAAATGGCTAAAAGTTAATAAATTCAGAGTTTACCCAGAGGCAATTAATATATTTTACTAAATATACCTTTATACAAAGAACCAAGCCTTAAACCACTATAGACTGTGGTCTCTTTTTCTTATCATCTATTTGAAAATAGTCTAAAAGAGAAGATCCAATTGCCAAACATGGAGATCAGCACTCTTAAAAGTTTAAAATGTTCATCTGTCACTGTAATTTTGCCAAATCATGTTATTAAGAGTAATTTGTGAAATTTACTACTCAAGCTATTATTTTAGGTCAAACAATCTAGTAAGCACATTAATATGAAAAACATCCCATTTTTCAGCATCTTAACTGCAACAAACTTTAAAGTATGCCAGTCTTCATGCTTTAGGGCATAATTTGGTTACCAGCTGGGGTCAGGAAGAAATTTTCCCCATAGTGTAGTATTGCCAATTACCATAGGTGTAGAGCGAACAAGAGAAAGAGACAGGGGGTTACTTGGTTCTCTAAAGCATCTGGTATTGGATGCATTCTGAGTGAGAATTCAGGATAAGATGAAACATTCAATTGTCCCTCTATGTCAATTCCAATATTCCTATGAGCTGCCAATATGACACGGCTGCCACAAGGGAGGGATTTTCTACAGAACAGATGTCACTTACAGTATTATGTGGGCTATCTATCTCAACAAATAATTGCTTGGCACTTCTGCCCTATGGCAAGGGTCTGAAAATATGTTAGGGTGAGAACACACCATACAAGCAGATGGGCATAGATAAAAGAAAGAGCAAGAGCACACTGAGCCTGAAATGCATGTGTAAAAGCCAGATGGGAGGACGGAAGCAAATGTTTTTTTTTCCTTATCTTTAGTGACTAAAGCCCCAAACCAGGATTTTCCAGCTATTAGTTATTTAGAAGTTCTATTTTAAAATTTCTTTAAATAAGAATGAGTTGCAGGAGGCTCCAATTTATTGAAACAAAGAAACATTGCCTTTTTGGTATAAACTTCAATTCACATTTGAAAATGATTGCATTTTGCTTAAGCCCTGACACTGATATGAGACTCCCAACACCAATGTCCCCCACTTTCATGCCCCCCCCCAAAAAAAAGAAAAAGGAAAAAACTAGGCTGGGATAAGAGGATGGACACAAAGACTGACAATGAATGACAAAGGACAATTGAGATGGGACTTGCCTGAGAGAGACAGCAAGAGAGGAAAAAAAGTCCTTTTAAAATATCAATAAGAGAATCAAAGAAAGCAAGATCCTTTTTCTGATAAAAGGGGAAAAGTTAATAACAGTGAAGAAAGAGAAGGGAATTGCAATATGCTCCTACTGTAATGGAAGAAAAGAAGATGAAGGTAGAATCAGAAAGTAACAACTTTAAATAAGTTTAACATATATGTTACTTTTACACTTTACACAATCTGTGGATTAAAGTTTTAAAAATATTCAAACTACTTGCCCCAATAGTAAACCTGACTGGCTCTTTAAATAATTAGTTGGAGAAAGAATAGGGGTGTTTTTGCTCACAAGAACCAGCAAAGAAATTTTCACTTTTAAGATACGTTGATTGCAGAAAAGACCTTGGGGGGAGTTGGGGCAGGGGGGCAACAATGAATGTATTGTAAATTATTAAAAGGCATTAAGTTATATCTCAAAATTAGAAAATGCTTGACGGCATTATTGATACATTTTTATGTCTGAAATGGGATGCAAGTAATAACTGAAAGTTTTCTAGACAAAAATAAGTTTGCCATTCAGTAATGTCTGAAAACTGTGATTCAACTGAACATTTGTTCATATGTTGGAGCTGATTCAAAGATGACTCTTACAGAAAACTCTAACCATTGCTTACTAGTATCCTTTTCTATAGTCTTTTAATCTTCAGGAACACTGGAGAAATTCTTTAATTTTTATCATAAGATATTCGTCCTATCACATGTTCCTCTGTTTTCAAAGTTTAATAATCAACCCTTAATTATTAATATAGAAAAACAGGATACAAGTTTCTCATGGAAAATATAACCTCAAATTTTTCTATCTGGCTTCTAACTATAGTCTAGCTTAGAAAAGTATAATGCGGGAGAAATTGCCTAAGGATCAACCATGTGATTTATTTACTCTTCCCAGCACTCAAAGCAAAATAGGTCAGTGGGAGGGTTAAGGATACACCACCCCATTTCAGCTGACATAGGAATTGGACTTTTTCTGAAAGAGAATGAGAAGCCACTGAAGAGCTTTCATTGGTGTGTTTGTTTGGAAAAAGGGTATCAATCATAGTCACATTTAGATGATGACTGATCTCTGAGGATATGTGGTAGAGAAAGATTGGATAGGAACGAGATTGGACCCAAGGACACCAATGTGGAATATTGTAAGAATACAGAAATAATGATGACAAATAATGATGACCTTGATTAGGGTGGTAGCAGCAACAATAAAGGAAGGAGGATAGATTTGAGAACTATTTACAAGGCAGATTCAACAGGATTTGGCAATAACAAAGATGAAGGAGACAGAATGAAAGGATGACCCCAATTTTAAGGCTTGACTAAGTGCATGGATAAGTATTCCAGTTATGAAGTACACAACACCTAAGAATAAGCAAGTTTTTCATTTCATTTACACTTGTGGCAGCATTCAGAGAAACTAGCTTATTCATTTAGTTTGGGTCTAAATATTGAATTTGAAGTGGCATCTATGTAGAAGAGGATGGATACTTGAATGTGTAGCTCAGAGGAGGGCTATAAATGAGACAAATATTTGTAGGTTGTTAGCATTTACATTTATCGAAGCAGTGTTAGTGGATAATTTTGCCTGTGATAGTATGAAAAGTCAAAAGCAAAGAAATCCAGAAACAGTTTTAAGGAAAACCAAATATTTGGTAAGCACCTACTGTGCTCTAGTTTCTGGAGCTGCATCTATCAATAAGATAGGCAGGGTGAGATAATAGTGTGCTATTTTCAGAGACTTTTAAAGGTTGTGTAGAAAATAAGACAGGCATGGTAATAACGATTACCTGAAACTGGCAGAACATTTTCAGGGAGAGGCCAGAAGTGAGACAAGCAAAGGAAAGCCTGAGGGAACACTTGGAGCCCCAGGGAAGCAGAGCAGGAAATGGGAATAGGTCTCCACAAAGACAAAAGCAGGGAAGCTGTGATCACTCAGAGCCAACCAAGACACCAGAAAGTGGAAAGTTCGTTTTCTCTCTGGTAAGTGTAGTAGAAGATGAAAAGTGATTCTGCCAAAGCTGCTGCTTACACAGGATTCAGAGCAGTCAGAATGGACAGGTCTCAAAAAAGTTGTGAAAGACAATGACTTGAACCTAAACTCTAGAAACCTGAAAGGACAGCAGGAAAGATGGGTAGCTGTTCAATCTAGTGAGCAAAAATAATAATTAACAAATAACCAAGACATGACATTTCCTTATATCTTTCACTGAATCTCTTAGTTTCTATAGTTAAATATTAATATTAAAATGTAATGTGGAATAGAAATTATACTATTTCTGTTTTTGTCAATTATCTATATCTGAAATTTCAGCCACAGGGTCAGTTAACACGTAGAGACACGGTTATTCATTCGGTGGCAGCTACTAGAAATAATTAGTATCTATGTCTCCGGACACGCATATTTAAAAGATAATTGAAAATGAGGAGAGCAGTTTGCCACTGAAAATTAGCAAAACAAAGTTGTTTGTTGAGTATATATTATTTTAAAAATCTAAAGAAGTATTTTTTAATCAATGCCATGATGCATTTTCAAATAACTACAGGAAATTTAAAGAGGTCGCTACTAGTTATAATAAACTCCTAAAAGCCTTCAGAAGAGGAGACATACAAGAAAAATTTGAAAATGGACAACAGTCTTTACATTTACAGAGGAAGATTATGAAGTTAAAGGTGACCAATTTTCTATGTTTCAAGATAAGTAAAAGGAAATTATACTAAAATTACAGGTCAATAATAGTGAAGAAAAGGGAGAACATTAATATTCTAACTTCTCCAGATCCTGCAATTTATTATCCGAAGGTTGTCTGATTCTCTCTGCTTTATTACCTAAAATCAAGACAGACCCAGAAATGTAGGTATTGATTAATAAGAACCACAGTGCCAGACTGCCTTCTACTTGAGGACTCTAAGAGAACAGGTGACTCCCACTCTAATTTCCCTCAGCTTCAGTGAGCCATTTTCCTCCATTAGTAAGCTCTTGGGCTATCAAGCTATTTCACAGGGTATTAGATGCTGAGTCTCAGGTGTATAATATATGTTATTCAGGCAACACAATGGGCATTATATGACTTCTCTAAGTTTCTTGATTATGGTGTTGATCAAAATGCTTATAAAATTAGCATAAGCATGGCTACCATTTCAGTTCATCCATTACTCATTATCAGAGAGTGCTAGATACATTTGCTCAAGTCCGAACCATGCATTCCTTACATTTATAACAAAAGGGAACTCTGGGGGAAAATGTTTTCATTCTTATTTGAAAAACATTTTTACAGACAATGCACAGTTGTTTTTACTTTTTCAGCTTTGCAGTTTCTCTAATTTCTATCCCTTTTAAACTCCCTCTATAGGCAGAGGGACTTTGAAGTATGTAAAGTATAATATACAGTCCACTTGACATAATTTTTTAAGCCTGTATTTCACAAAAAAAAAAAAAGCTAAAGTTTTAAGAGGTCTTTGAAATAGATGACTTCAAAAGGGTGTTCAGCGTAAATGTAAATGAGATTTATATCTGGAGGAGATGATCAAATCCTACAGGTTATTTAACAAATTTAAAACACCCAAAGCACAACTAGAAAATGAGATCTAAACATCGAAGACTTAGCTACTGAGGCTGTGATTGAATATTTTTTCACTGCCTTCTCATGTTCCATAAGTTTTACCTCTGTGTCAGGATTAATATCCTCTATATACATCTCTTGGTATTTTTTATATTTTGAATCCGACCTCCATTCCCTGCAGCCCTCCAGTCCTATGGCCCCAGAGAAAAGGAAGGATGAATGCCAATGCTGGAAAAAGGAAGATGTAAGAAGTTTCTAGAAGACCAAGAAATCATATGTTTTCTCCAAAAAAAATTATAGAAAGAGGAGAAAGAGAGACCAGGAGGCAGACATGAGAGTCCTGATCCCCTACTCTGGCACAAAACCACTAGTACATATGCAGTAGAGAGTTTGCAAAAGGACAGAAACCCCAATGTATCCACTACCACTGCTTTAATAAAAGTAAATGTTAATAACCTACAAATATTTTTCTCCAGTTAATAGCCTTTCTCTGAGCTACAAATCCAAGTATGCAACTGCCTCTACCTAGGTGCCTCTTCAAATTCAATGCAGTCCAACAGAAAAAAGAAACATACACAGGAGAAGCACCTTAGTGTTGACCTAAATATCCCTGCAGGCCCCCAGTGGATGAGGGGCAGCAACCAAAATAGTCTAGCCTGGGCTCTGTGGGTGAGACTCCAGATCCGTTGGCATTGACCGCTGATGTTGATGCTGCTAGGAAAACATGCTATGAACCTTGTTAGCCACAGACTCAGCAGCGCAAGCCAGCAGGAAGGCCAGTGGCAGTCAGAGAAAGAAGCATCTCGGAGGTAGCCATCCAGGTCAGAGGACATAAGCACATGAAAGCTTTGCCTCACATCCATGAAAGTCTGAGTGTTTGCCAAAAAGAGACAGATTTAACCTTAAAGTCACCACTTTACAAAAAAAGGCTTTGAGACATTTAACTGGGAAGTTAAATTTTCATCCTAATATCCTCTCCCCAATTAGCAAGCTCCTTTTCCCCATCTCTTTCCACCTTCCATTCCCGAGTAAGATGTACGTGTTGATAGAGTGGTGGGGAATTCAAGACGTTGTAGAAAAGAAAGAATTTCTTTTCTTTCTTTTGTAGAAAAGGTAGAATTTCTACCTCTCTATCTTTATCAACAAAATTAAAGTCAGCATTCCAAGAAGATAGAGCTTCCCACATAGAGTATCTCTATTCACATTCAACACAGGGCTGACATATGACGTTGCTTAGAAAGAAACAGTTTCCTATTGATTAAAGAATATCTCTTATTTTAAATACTCTAAAAACTGTCTAATTTCACTCTTTAAAATAAATTAATAAATACTTGTTGAAACACATTACAAGGTCTCATGAAGAAGTTTCACAGCATTTAAAAGACACTTATCACAGTGTAAGTCTCTAAGGCTTAGAATCTTTCCAGTAATGTGCCTCAACACTTAAAGTGTCAGCTGACTGATGACTTCAGTTTTTTGTTTTTTGTTTGTTTGTTTGTTTGTTTGTTTTTTGAAACAGAGTTTTGCTGTCACCCAAGCTGGAGTGCAGTGGCACAATCTTGGCTCACTGCAACCTCCACCTCCCAGGTTCAAGCAATTCTCCTGCCTCAGCCTCCTGAGTAGCTGGGACTACAGGCACATGCCACTACGCCCAGCTAATTTTTGTATTTTGTTTTTAGTAGAGACAGGATTTTTGGCCAGACTGGTCTCCAATGCCTGACCTCAAGTCTTTATGTCCACCCGCCTCAGCCTCCCAAAGTTCTGGGATTACAGGCATGAGCCACCGTGCCTGGCTGACTTCAGACAGTTTCAAAGTGGGCAGTACCTTCATAAAGTCACTGCAGACAAAAAAAATCTCAGCTTTTTGAGGCAAGAAATGTAATCACATAGTTTTGAGCGAGCTCTGAAATGTTGGCACATGCTAGCCAAAAGCAAGGTTGACCAAATGCACCCAGGGTGTCTGTTTACATATCACTTTTGCAGAGTCTGAAGTCTGTTCAACACACGTTAATTTTTCTTTTAATTGCATAGGCTGATCCTGTTCCCCATCAGAAACAGAATTTCCTACCTTAGATTTTTTAAATGTTTAAGATTTAGAGACTATATTTGGGTCAAACCAACTTTAACTGTTCAAAATAAACTTGACAGAGTTTTTACCTTAATGGACAATATGAATCCAAAGCTCTCCATCCTACAGATGCGATTTAAGAGAACTAATCACCTAGGGTGTTAAATGGTGAAGACTTAACTAAGACAAGAATAGCAGAGGCATCATAATGACCTGTGTTATAGCCACAAATTGAGATAACTGCCTGGCTTATGCAATTACTTGGAGGCCATGTCTGTACAACCCCTTTTGCCTCCCAATTATAATAACAGACCATCCCCTCCCTCTCTCCCTACAGCCATCAAAGCGAACACCTGACTTCTAAAAAAACTGAGCATAGCACTTACCATCTTGGTCATAATGACCAGGCCAAGGGCTAGACATGCGAGCCAGCAAATGTTCCCTAGAATAGTTCACACTGGAGCTGAATAACATTAAATACTTATTTTCCTTGATGGCAAGCTGTGAAGATGTGAGCCTGGAGGGACTGAAGCCTATACTGTTTGCTGCAAGGAGGAGCTGGTCTGAGAACAAAGACAATATGCAGAGAGCACAGATGAGACCTAGAGCTGTTCCTAGTGATATTTGAAGTTCTGGCTCTAGTCATCCCTGATATCAGCTCTCTTTCCTGGAAATAGCAGCCAACAAATTCTCTCTGTGATTTCATCTACTTCATACTGGGTTACTCTTACCGGGAATCATCAGCGTTTTCAATAATAAAGCTAGTGAGAAAGTAGTGAAACCCAACAAAGCAGACAAATAAGAACCACTAGGTCATAGTCAGAGAACAGTAATGTTGGTGCCAGTCATGCAATTTTGAGATCATTTCTTAAAATCTCTGAGCCTTAGTTCAAAATCTGCAAATGGGGCTTCCAGCTACTGAACTAGATTATTGAAGAATTAGAATACTATATGTAAAGTGATTAGCATGATGCTTGTCCCATAGCAATTGCTTACCAAGTGCTAAAAATATATTGTTTTATCATGAGGCTGTGAGGATAATGATGAGGAGGACTCAAAGAAAACAAAGATTATAGAACTCAGAATCTTCTACAACTTTTCATTAAAACCCTACTGGCTTAAATATTTTTGAGGAAAAATAAAAACTGCAAGCACTAAATAGAAAAATGTAATGAAGTTAGAAATAATTATAAACAGAACATTCTGATTATTTTAAGACGCAAAGGTATTTTAAAGCTCAACTTACAATAAATAAGCATTGTTATTGAAAGTTTACTCAAGGTCAATGAAATAGTCTTATTTTTAAGAAAAACTGTAATATGAAAAATAAAGCAAGTATTATTGATATAGCTACTTCCTGAAAATGGAGCTGGCAATACTTGTAGGCCCAATTCAAATGTCTCCACAGTAACAAAGCCTTCCTTGACATCACCAAAACCATGTACAATACTATACACCACACCAATGGTGCAAGCTTTTCTTTCATCGAATTTATTTATTTCCCATTCCACACTATAAAACCCTCCTAGCAAGGCCTCTTTTTTCATATCTGTACCTTTAAAATGTAGCTCAATAACTTGATCAAAAGCAGGTGCTCAAAATATAGTATTAAAATTAGACTAAATTTTAGATGTACACTGAGAGCATGAGACTTGGGTTCCAATCTTGCTTCTGCCACTTACTAGATGTGCTACCTTGAATAAGTCACCAACTATAGGAATATATCCTCATAGTGTTTGCTTTCAAAGTTACCTACAATAACCTCCTACCCCAGTACAAAAATTCCATCTCAATGCATTTTCTACCTACACACACTGTGATAGACCCTCTACAAAACGTAATCTTCAGTCAAACTTCATAAGCAGTTTTTGGCATAACTATTATCTTTCACATTGAATAAGTCAACAAAGCAATGCTTTATAAAGCCCACTATCAGAGAGCCAACAATGCAGACTCAGAATTCTAACTTTAAAAAACAGTCCTTCCCAAACCTGACAAAAACAAGAAATGGGGAAAGGATTCCCTATTTAATAAATGGTGCTGGGAAAACTGGCTAGCCATATGGAGAAAGCTGAAACTGGATCCCTTCCTTACACCTTATACAAAAATTAATTCAAGATGGATTAAAGACTTAAATGTTAGACCTAAAACCATAAAAACCCTAGAAGAAAACCTAGGCAATACCATTCAGGACATAGGCATGGGCAAGGACTTCATGTCTAAAACACCAAAAGCAATGGCAACAAAAGCCAAAATTGACAAATGGGATCTAATTAAACTAAAGAGCTTCTGCACAGCAAAAGAAACTACCATCAGAGTAAACAGGCAACCTACAGAATGGGAGAAAAATTTTGCAATCTACTCATCTGACAAAGTGCTAATATCCAGAATCTACAAAGAACTCAAACAAATTTACAAGAAAAAAACAAACAAACCCATCAAAAAGTGGGTGAAGGATATGAACAGACATTTCTCAAAAGAAGACATCTATGCAGTCAACAGACACATCAAAAAATGCTCATCATCACTGGCCATCAGAGAAATGCAAATCAAAACCACAATGAGATACCATCTCACACCAGTTAGAATGGCAATCATTTAAAAAGTCAGGAAACGACAGATGCTGGAGAGGATGTGGAGAAATAGGAACACTTTTACACTGTTGGTGGGACTGTAAACTAGTTCAACCATTGTGGAAGACAGTGTGGTGATTCCTCAAGGATCTAGAACTAGAAATACCATTTGGCCCAGCCATCCCATTACTGGGTATATACCCAAAGGATTATAAGTCATGCTGCTATAAAGACACATGCACACGTATGTTTATTGCGGCACCATTCACAATAGCAAAGACTTGGAACCAACCCAAATGTCCATCAATGATAGATCGGATTAAGAAAATGTGGCATATATCCACCATGGAATACTATGCAGCCATAAAAAAGGATGCATAGTATGTCCTTTGTAGGGACATGGATGAAGCTGGAAACCATCATTCTCAGCAAACTATTGCAAGGACAAAAAACCAAACACCGCATGTTCTCACTCATAGGTGGGAACTGAACAATGAGAACACTTGGACACAGGAAGGGGAACATCACACACCAGGGCCTGTCATGGAGTGGGGGGAAGGGGGAGGGATAGCATTAGGAGATATACCTAATGTAAATGACAAGTTAATGGGTGCAGCGCACCAACATGGCACATGTATACATATGTAACAAACCTGCACATTGTGCACATGTACCCTAGAACCTAAAGTATAATAATAAACAAAAACAGTCCTTCCTACACACTACACCACTTCTCTGTGCTTTAAAAGTCTTGGAGTGTTTTTAAAAATTTTCTCTCTATTGATAATCTTCATTATGGCATACTACAATGATTGATTCAAATAGCAAAATGAGATGATATAAAACTTCTTTGTGAAGTATAAAGTGCTCCAAAATATCAAGTAGTAGTTGTATCATGACAATGATGTAGATGATAATGATAATAACAGGAAAGGGAAAAGTATGTACTTTGGGTTCTTTGTTGCATTAATACTTCCATGCTGAATATTTCCATGCTGTTAAATGGGTCAGTTAATGTAAATTGTATCCACTTACTGGAAATTGGGAGGAAGCCCTGGGTTTTTATTCTTGTTTTTTTCCTTCAATTTTTTGAGTACAATTAAAACAGACAGATTTTCAGAGGTAGTTACTATACTTACTTAGAAATTACGGCTGTATATGTATACAGATACATACCCTGGTAAAGGATGGTAATTGACTTGAATAAATTTGTGGTCTTGCTGGGACAAGTCTATGCAACACTGGTTTGTATGAAAACTGCATGTGGAACTCTGTTCTATGGGCACTGATTTCCTGGCTGATTTGAAGTCTTCTCTCCTTTTCTCCTAATTGTTCTTTCAGCTGAAATTGAAGTCCAGTTAAAGCTTGTAACATATTTCTCTTCTTTTCTTCTCACTATTAGTGGATTTGGAAAAAAAGGAGCACTGTAAAACACATACAAAATAATATTTTATCACCTGAGACTACATACTATAAAATAAATTTAGTAAATGATAAGGGAGGTATTTGAAATAGAAAACAAACTCATTATTTAATGGTTATGGTTCATCCATAAAGAGGTAATTCTTAATGTTCAAGTTAAAAAAAAAAAAAAGATGAGAAGAAACAGTTGGCATTCAGCTAACAATTGTGTTTGGAGATTTGTGCCTGACTTTGTTATTCTGAGCAAAGCCAGGTACCAGTCTCTTGGGATTATGTACAAAGGCAAGAAAAAAAGTGGACATGAACAAACCTCAAAGGTGACTGCTGGGTTAATAAAACAGTCTGTTTTCTGTTCACCCACTCTTGCTCTCAGTGTGCAAGTATATTAAAATATGTCAAAAGGAAAACCATTCACTGTGCAAAAATAATTCAACTACAAGTCACAATTTCCAGCTGGTGGAGTGCCTTAGTGTATTTAAGTGCACTAACAAGTGACCCATACATCTCCCCGGATGAAAGTTGTATCCTCATTAAATGAGAAACAAACACAAAATAGGAACAACTGTCACACAGAAAAACAGACCACAATGGATACTGCATTTCCCACACTCAATTTCTGGCTTGAGCTATGGCAGACTGAAGAACAGTGCTGTCCTGGAAGTAACCTCTTAAAAGGGACTGAAAGTAAAACAAGGAAGCTGTTGGGGGACCTAAATGTCTTGCTAATAGCCACCCAAATTCTCAGTCAGAGTTTCTGGGAAAATATCATTTTCTTTCTGGGCCCTAAAAACTCCCATATTAGGTAAGACATTATATAATAACACTAATGTGAAGTAACTGGAATAAACAGACCCAACCCCCAAGGAATTTAGAATTAATGCTGTAAGTTATATTTTTAAATAACTCTGTTAGATAAACTCTGGTTTTAGTGTTTATAAGATATCATACCACACCCTGGTAAATGATAGTACTTGATTGAATAAACTTGTGGTCTTGCTGAGACAAGTCTATGCAACACTTTGTATGAAAACTGCATACCTTTTACTTTCTGATTTTCTCTAGGGAACTAAATCATTGATAGGACTCTGAAAAGAAAAAAAAAGAGAGAAGTTACTGTTTTTTAACTTTAATAATACTGTTCTTATTTGATTCATACGTTGTACATTATTATAAGGCAAAAACATACATTGGATGTTCAATGTGATAAGTTGCATCTTATACACAACAGGACATACAATAGGAGCATGTGTCTCCAAAAGGCAGATAGACAATATCTGGAAAAATAAGGGAACACTACTTGAGAGCAAATAACTGATTACAAAAGTATGGTACTAACAATTATTTCAAAGTAGGGTAAGATGTTCCACTTGTATACAGGCAACACCTTTGTTCAAACATTTTCATAGCAATTAGCACACACTAATTTCCTGTTTACTATCCCCTCCCTTCAACTAGAATATAAGCTCCTCAGGGTAAAATTCATTGTATGTTATTTCTCATATCATTAGAACTAGTACAGCCTCTGGCACATAATACAAACTCCAAAATTATTAATTGGTTGTTTGGCTAACTGATTATAGCTGTACACATGACAATTGGTGCCCAATATTGAATTGTCAACCTCCTAATGGAAGACAGTAGAGGAACTGGAAAGGGAAGATGTTTCTAGAAAGAGACTAATGTTTTCTATGACAAACTGTAGCCCAGGAGCAATGGATATATGTATAGAAAAAAAGAACCACACGGCTCTAAATTATGCTTTAAACTAGAATATATAAAACAACCATTAAAACAAAATTGAAGCCCAATAGAGGAATGTAGGTAATAACGGATCAGCAAACCAATCTAAAGAAATTAAAATGTCTAGGCCCAGAATAATTATGTGAGCTTGGAAACAAGAAAAGTATTTGAGGAACCAAAGTTAATGATAAGAAAAACTTATTAAAAATAGGAAAAGACAGATTTTAGAAACCAAGAGCTAGTGAGCTTGATTTTTAGGCATCATGAAATTCTAAAGCAGATTGATTATTAAACAGCTGGTCTATGAATTCATGAAAAATAAAGTGGAATTCACTAGGAGATAGGGAGCTGGACTCAAGAGAGTATTGCATGAAGACAAAAGTCCTTGGTTCATATTCTGAATGTGTGCTTCCTCTTACTTTAATGATTTTTCCTTTTCCCTATTTCTGCCAGTTAAACTATATCTCCCCCACTGCCACAATAAGTACTAACTCCTAGTACCTGTAAATATGAACTTATTTGGAAATAAGGGTCTTTGCAAATGTAATTAAGGTACACATTAAGATGAAGTTATATTAGAGTAGGGTGAGCCCTTAATTCAATATAACTGGTGTTACAGGAAGAGGGGAAGAGACACAGAGAACATGGACAGAGAAAGAAAAGAATCCCAAGTGATGAAGAAAGCAGAGATTAGAGTTGTGCTAGGAGGCAAGCTTGGAATTCTCCCTCTAAGCTCTCAAGAAGGAACCACTCCTGCTGACAACTTGATTTGAGAATTCTGGCCTCCAGAACTGTGAAAGAATAAATTTCTCTTGTCTTAAGTCACCCAGTTTGTGGTCATTTGTTATGATAGCCCTAGGAAATGAGTACACCATCCTATAAAAAGGAGTCAGTGATATATCTTTGCCAGGTGATTGTCAGGAGGATTATAATAAAGCATAGGTAAATATTAATTTCAGCAAAGCTTTTTACTAAGATTCTTATAATGCGTTCACTGATAAAATAAATCTGTGTGAGCTCAATTATTAGTTAGGTTCAAAGTTGCTAAAATTGCCATTTCCAAAGACAGCTGATTAATAATTCAACATAAACTTAATCTTTCCCAAAATGTTCACTTATGGATATACTGAAAATAACTCTCAGGTCTCAGATTTCTATCATTTAAGGCCCTTTATAGACAAACGGACACAAGTTTTGGAAAGTCACCTGAAGTAATAATGTTAATGATGGACACAGAACCTTTCATTCATCATTAGTTGTTCAACATATTTACAGGACTTAGAGAAGTACATAGAATGGATGCTATCCAAATAAGGGAGAAAAAAGTAAGTTGGGAAAAATAAAAGTAACACATTTAAAAAGAAAACTCGTTATCTTAATTTATTATCCTAACAATATAATTTAGTAACCATTATTAATAGTAATTTGATACTTTAAACTTCAAACAGTGCTTCACACATAGTAGATACTCAGTAAGTTACTGTTATTATTAATAGTATGATAAGCTAGAATGATGGGTCAAACCCACTTCAGCGAAAAACACACAATATTTCATTTGGGCTCAAAATTTAAATGGATATCAGGTAGAAAATATCCAGGCTCATCATTAACTCATAGGAAATAGATTTGGGGATTTCAGTTGATCAAAGTTTCAGTGAATGCATCCAAACAGTGTTTTGTGAGACCTCTAAAACAAAAATAAAACAAAATAAACAACAAAGGTGAGAATTTAGGATAAATCAGTAGATGTACGTAAGCCCATGACAATTTGCAAAGGGCAAGCGTAAGGGGGATTGTTTTTCTAAAAGCAGCAATTCTCCTCTGTACATTTGAGAGATGTTCTGGATGCTGAGGGCATCTGGATGCTGTGGGGGTGAAGTTCCAAGGGAGACAGAGAGTTTCTGCACACTCCCATCCTACACTTCCAGAAGATGAAGAGACGTAGGTCCCCACGGCATGCGAATCTGAGGAAGAAGATCTCTTGGTCAAAGACCTTTCTTCTGCCACCTAGAAACAACTGACGCTTCACAAAAGCAGCATCCGAGAAATGCAAGAGCGGTAAAAAATTATCAGAGGCTCCCTCGGTTGAGACTGAAGCATGCAAAGAAGGATGACAGAAATGTGAAGGAATCAAAGAAAGACATCAGCTAGGAAGGGACATTGAAACATCTCACTCTCAAAGAACCAAAGGAAACCCCCCTCCCCGCCACCCCCCAGTAATGGGGAGAGAGGACATTTGACAGAGAATGAAGACAAAGACATCAGAAGAGAAAAATCTCCCCACACACTGACTGTCATGAGCATGAGGGATAGCCAAGAAAAGTAAGGTAGATCTAATGTCAGTAGTGTGGTCCTTTGTTAATTAACCTTCCCTTTTTAAAAGCTGTTAGAGGTATCACATGTAACGTGGAACCTTCTGGATGTTAAGATGTATTTTTCTATATATTGACTAGGAACACGGAGCCTATAATACTCATCACAGAAGTAATTCAGGCTCTTTAGACCTCAGTTATTTCTAATACATGGTTTCAGACAGTTTTGGATACAAACTACACTCGTTTCCTGTGGCTGCTTTTAAAAAAATTTACCAAAAACTTCGTGGCTTCAAACAACATACATTTTTTGCTCTTATACTTCTGTAGTAGAGAAGTTTGAAAGTAGTTTCCCTAACCTAAAGTCAAGATGTCAGCAGGATAGAGCTGGCTTTTTTAGGAGGCTTTATGGGATAATCCACTTTCCTGCTTTTTTCAGATTCTAGAAGCTGCCTATATTCTTTGGCTTGTGGCCCCTTCCTCCATCTTTGAAGTGTGTCACTCCAACCTCTGGTTCCATGGTAAGATGTCCTTCTCTTTTACTCTGACGTCTGCATCCCTCTTATAAGGACTGTGTGATTGCTTTGGGTTCACCAAAGATAACCCCACAAAAATCTCCCCACCTCAACATCCTTAACTTAATCACATATGCAAGTTTCTTTTGCCATGTATAGTAACATCCACAAGTTCCGGGGATTAGGACATGGGCATATCTGGGGGTTCATTATTCAGCATACCACATCCACTTTAAAAAGAAACATTATAGGGAGAGAATATAGTATAGAGTGAAAGCATAAACCAGCTTGCTTGCTTCACAGACACTTAGAGTGCTTTTTATATGCCGGATGTTTTTATAAGTGCTTAACAAATATTAGTTCATTATTACTCTCTACAGCCCTAAGACATAGGCATAATTATAATTCCCCATTTTTCTGATGAGAAAGCTGAAGTACAGAAAGGATAAGTTACTTGTACATGGCTTTGTGGTTATTTACAGCTGATATGAATCCAAATCATGCCTCTTAACTAGGTGACCTTGACACAGTATTTTCACTAGAAAGAACATATTTTACATGGTTGGTGTGAGTATTTAAATCAAATAATGTATATAAAGTGTTTATCACAGTTCTTGGCTCAAAATTTACTCATTACATGGTAGATAGTAAAATAACTATGTTAGAGACATCGACCAAAAAAATGGAAAAGAAGAATAAAAATGGTTAGGGAACTAGAAACACTATCATCTTAAAAATGGTAGTTTAGCTTGGAGAAGAAAAGAAGTATATGGGGGACATGATAGCTGTCTTGAAATATGTGATGAACTTTCATGTGAAGGAGAAGTAGATTTATTTTAATGTTCCCCCATAAAACCAAACTAAAACCTAAGGGTGGAAATTACATGGTGATAAAATCTGGCTCAAGAAAAAAGGAAATATCTAATAATTAGAGTGTTACACCAATGAAAAAGGCTGCCCCAGAGTTTTGTAAGCTTTCAGTAAGTTGAAATGTTCAAGCACAAGCTAAATGACTCTCTGTAGTATATAAAATAGAGAAAGGATTTCAACAATGAGAGGAATATTAAAATACATTCACGCATTTATTCAGCAAACATTTACTGACCATCTTCAGTGCACAGTGCCTGTAAGGCCCCTTACAACTCTAAAAATAATAGAATCTACTATTCTATGAATGAGCAAATAAGAGCACATGTCCCCAAAATGTACAGAATTTCTGGCTGATTCTCATTGAAGGGTCTACTGATTCTTTCAATCAGGTTCTCTAGTTTGTCTGGCATAATCTGCAATAAGCTTTATTTTCGCAGTCACTTATCACTAGTCACAGGAAGACTTTTTCTACAGTAAAGAATCAGTTCTTAATGGGAAAATCACTCAATTTTATATTCTGATGAAAGAGACTTTTCTCGAAAGGAAAGGATTTTATTTCATAATAGTTGTTTTTTCTTTCAATCTATGCAAACAAATGTAATAACATCTTTTAACCAAAAAATAAACAGAAAAAGAGGATTCCTCTCATTAATGTGGAGCATTTGCCATCCTTGAAAGAATCCAACAAAAATAAACCACTCTGTTGGACCCACAAATAAATTAATTATGGTGGAAACCTATTGAGTCTGATTTGTCCTGGGAACTATTAAGAGGTCGCCTACCTACTTCTCATTTAATCTGCTTGACTAAATAAGATTGCTTTGTTGGAGAATTACCTGAATTACACACAGAATCCAAGAAAGTCTCCAATTAATGACCAAAATGTCCCCAGTGTCTATACCATCCATACAACATTTCACCACATAGCAGCTGATGGCATTTATTACACAGCTGTTAGTAAGTGTCAGAATTAACCAGACAATAGGACAGACCTCTCCGTGATTTTTGCTGCTTACAATACTTTCTTAGCGGAAGATACAGAATAGGAATAATAATAACCCAAATACAAGTTGATTTTAATGAGCTCTTACCATGTGATGGTATCATCATAGGCAATTATTTCAATGACCGTGTCAAGCAGGAACCTCTCTTATCCTATCTAAAGAATGTGATGGAGCCAAAATTAAAACAGGGACGTGGAGTTCTCGAACTGTTATTGACTGATAAACTGCTTCCACAATCTTTAACCCTTTCCCTAACAAAGACGAATAAGTTAGAAGAAATACTGAACAGTAATTACAAATCTGTATTTTGATCTCTTTTACAGAAATAAACAGTGTGCCAAAGATGGGATTAGAACCTAGTTCTCTAGATACCTATGGTCCAAATAGCTACCAATTAAATTAAATGTAAAAAGCATTCTCAGCCCTGTGGGCTAGCCACATCACTGAGTTATTGAGTATCATGCAAGATTCTGTATAGGCAAGAACATTGCTCTAAAATATGGTAAATTTCCTTCTCTTTCCTTTCAAAATGCCCCAAGGCACTCGTATACATTGTGGACACCACCGGCCTGAAAATTCTCAGTTGAGGGAAAAAGAAATTCAAAATCCTTGAATTTATAAGAGCACTAAAAGCATCTAAAATGATAACTATTTTGCCCCTTTAACACCAAAAGATCAACTGATTTTTATTTTTCTCTTAGAGTTGACCTTTATTTAACCCATGGCATGCCAAAGTTATGGCCTGAAGCAATTTTTTCAGTGACTGCCTTGACTTGGGACAAGAATAGACATTTCACTCAACCTGTCTCTGAATCATCATTCCATATCACTACTGATGGTCAGTCTAACAAAGAAAAACCGTTTTCAACATTTAGAAAACACTAAAACTTTCTGTTGAATTATTTATTCCCTCCATTTCAAATAAGTTCGGACCTGCAAAATGTTTGCAAATTCTAAAATTATCAAATGTTTTCTCAAAGTTTTTATTAAGCTCTTCAATAAAACGTTTGTATTCAGTTATGTATAAAAAATAATGAGCTCATTGTGCCTGCATCATAAAAAGCTAAAACCATTTCTTTTGATCAGTTGACTACCTGCTGGCATCTTTTCCTAATGGGGAAATTAATTTTAAGGCTTTGTGGTACCTCTTTTGCCCCCTATATAAGTCCTGCACCTACACACAATTGTTCAGGACACTCTCACTATTTTGAATGTAATAAATGAGGTATATCTAAAGAATTTAGACATGATTAGTGGTGTCTAACACTTTTCCTCTAACAAAAACAAATTCAATAGTTGCATATTATGAAAGATTACAAAACGAAAGAGAAACGTGCAAAGATACAGTAGGAGATATTTAATTTAGAGATTAAGAATTTATGGCTATAAGCGCTGGGAGGCACATCTGTGAGTTATCCAAGGGAGAATGCAGATTCTCTGGAGGTTTATAATGACACAAATAGCTATGTTTCTGGGCTGGCATAAATGGGATCCTGGTTATAGGTCGGCAGCATAATAAAATAACTATCTGTGTCAAAAAGTCTAGCTCAAGGATTTCTACAAAAAACTTTCAATGACAACAGTATTTATATGAGCATAATTTAATATTAGCACAAGCATTTTATTGTGGATCATCTTTACCTGATTTTATTTCCTGAGCAGCATTGATCTTTAGAAAGTCAATGAAAAATGAATCAATATCTACCACACATTAAGCACTTTGCTAAGCATTTTATTTTTTATATCCTTCAATAAATTTATTAATGCTTCCCATTTTTACCAAATAGAGAAGCTGAAACTCAACAATCATAAGCAATTTGCCCCATGCTACACATTTAAGAAGTGGTATATTTAACCCAGACACATTTGACTTGAAAACAAATACCCCTAAACTACATTATACAGAAAAATAGTATTAGCAATAATTGAGAAAAACATGGATCTAGCCAATGCAATAGGTCTGGAAAGATAAATATGAATTAAAATTAATTTTAAAATATGCATTTATTAATTGTAAATGATACAAATAACTACATAGAAAATCTCTGAGAAACAACAAGAAAAATGAAATGAGAGCTTAAACACAATAAATTTAATGAATTAACCAAATCATACGTACAATATTTTGAATATATGTTAAAAAAACACTGAATTATACACTTTAAAAGTGTGAATTTTATTGTATGTAAATTGTATGTCATTAAAAAGTTAAATAAAATGATTACACTAGCCAGTTAATATGGGAGGTAAATGAAGTGGAAATGAGGACTATTCACCGATAATATAAATGTAAAAATTTGAACAATTTTTCTAGAGGGTAATTACATTTTATTTACCAAAATCCAGTTATTATATTTTTTAAATCTAAAGAGTTAATCAGAGATATGGCTTAGGTTTATATACAATAAAATTTATCATAGTCTTGTTTGAAATACTTCTCCCAAAAGGAATTTAAACAGTGGAAACTATATAAATCCAGGAATTTCTAAATATAGCTTGATACATCCATATAAAGTCATGGTTCAGAATAGTTAATTACATTGGAAATGCTTACAATGTTAAGTAAAACAGACAAGATAAAAAAAAAAAAAGTAACCAAACATTAAAAAGAAATTAGAGCTGCAGTGAATGTTATGAGAGAAGAGGATTTTTTTGCAAAAATATATTCGGTAAGATAAAGAAAACTGATGCAAAGTTGCACCTGGGCCTGGGAATGAATTCTTACATTTGTTGGTGGAGAATAGGCTGTGACTGGTATAACAGGGAGTCAAATGCTTTCTAGCTTGTTCTGTGTTTGTAGAACCCCTGTGTTTCAGGGAAGAAGATGGGCTGCTATTCCATATAACTTTTTCTCGGATAACCAAGACTTCTCCCTCCATGGAACCTTTGCAAAAGCTCCTTTCTCTCCATGGAATTTTCTTTTCCTAGATTTTGACTTGGATGGCTCTTGATGCACACTCCACATTCACATCTTCACTGAAAAGTCACTAGTTCAGTCAGGCTTTTTCTGCCCATTCATAGCAGCATGGCATCACCTGGGAATTTGTTGGAAAGACAGAATTTCATGCGCCACCCAAGACTTACTGAATTTGAATCTGCATTTTAATAACATCCCCAGATGACTCTCATGCACACTAAAATTTGAGAAGCACTGTCCTTACAGTCTGTGATAGAGACTGCATGCCAGCTCCCTGCATCATTTTCTCCATAGGACTTATGCATATCTAAAATTATTTATTTGCTTTCTTAAACATAGTTTCATTAGCATAGAATTTGTTTTGTCTTTTGCCTGTGTTCACAGTTCCTAAATAGTGCTTAATGTACTGCTGGGACCCAAAGAATATTTGTTGAATGAAAGCACAGAATAGGGAGAGGTATAGTTCAGTAATTTTGATTGAAGAAATGCCATTTTATATCTTCACTATCTAAATAACTCTGTCTTTGGGGCCTCAACTATTGATTAAAGCTATAAGAGCTAATAAATTGTGTTCCAGTCCAATGCATCATGTGCCTGTAATATTTACTGGTTCTATAAAAAACCCTACCTAATAACTTTCAGAAGGATAACCAGTATTATTATATGTAAAAATAAAAGTAGGTTGCTCAAAAAGTTAGAGTATTGCCATGTGACTCAGCAATTGCTCTTCTAAGTATACACCCAAGAGAATTGAAAACAAATGGTCAAACTAATCTTATACACAAATGTTCATAGCAGGATCATTCATAAGAGCCAAAAAAGTAAAAACAGCCCCAAATGTTTATCAATGAATGAATAAATCTGCAAAATGAGGTATATACCCTCAATGGAATATTATTCATCCATAAAAAGGAATAAAATACCATTAATGTTACAACATAAATGAACCTTGAATATATTACATTAAGTAAAAGAAGCCAGATACAGAAAGCTGCATTTTGCCACATATTGCAAAAGCCACATACATGAAATGTCCAGAATAGGCAAATTCATAGAAACAAAAAGCCAATTAGTGGTTGTCAGAAGCTGGAAGGAGGGAGAAATGGGGAGTACCTGCTAATGGACACGGAGTTTCTCTCTGGGGTGACGAAAATATTCTGCAATTAGATAGTGATGATGGTTGACATCATTGTGAATGTACTGGAAGTCCTTAAATTGTACACTTTAAAATAGTTAAGATGGTGAGTTTTAGGTTATGTGAATTTCACTTCAACAAAAAATAAATATATAGAAGCAAATTACTATTTTAAGACATAGTGGCATTAAAATATATTGACTTGCTATCCAGAAATTTTGTTTTACAGACTCACTATTTCAGAGGTCAGGGTGCCAAATGATTAATATTATGTGACGATTATCTTTTTCAGATAGAGATAAGACAGGGAAATAAGGTAAAAGAAATGAGTCTGGGATTTGCCTAAGCCAGGACTCAAATTCCTTTGATCCTTGGCTAAAAGCCCTGATTGGTCCAAAAGGTCAAATGGAAAGGAAAAAGCACTCAAGAATAAATCAGTAAAATAAAAAATTCATTAAAATGTAGCTATTGGGAGGAAAGGAAATAACCTTCCTTTCTTCTACTAAAGAGTGAATTGACAACCTAATTTTCCGAACAGGTAACAAATGTATAGCTGTAGCTAGGTGCCCAGAATTTCTTCTCTACAGGGAAATGTTGGAAATAAATTATGGAGGAGTCTTCAGACTTACTGAAGCCACTGAAATTGTAATTGTTGTTACAATTGCAAGGGTTTATTAAAGATCATCAGGAAACTTGGCATTAAAAAAGTGTTTGGATAGATAAGACCCCTGTTTGCACTTTAAGCCTTTACTGTTAATTACATGTTACTGTGATTAAGCACTTCAGAAGTGACTTTTATGAACTGTGCTATTATTTCATTTAATAAGAACTTGTTATAAAGTCACAGGTTAGCAAAAGTTCATTAATAAGTTCAATGTTTGGAACTCAAAAAGCATTTTCCTATGGAGCAATGTTAGCCATGGTGGTTAGGTTTCTATGTAAGTGGGGTCTAAGAAATCAGGTAAGCCATACACACCTGCTCCCGTAACACTGAACAGCACACTACACGTTTTAAAAGATTTCCATGGAAACATGCATTCAGCATTCTGGGACCAAGACATCTCTTCCCTCTACTGCATTAGTGATGCTTGTTCATTCATTCATCACTGAATCACTCATTCAACAAGCATTGGCAGTGTCTGCTATGTACCAGGCCCTTTAGCAAGTTATATTCCTTTTTATCTGCCAGGTAGCAGGCTTTCTTCAACTTGGAGGAAGTAACCATTGGCTTAGCATATGAACTCCAGCATATAAGAAGCAGAAGATGAGGTTCTAGGGCAAGTAGAAGCAATGAAGGTTAAGGACGACTGGAACAAGGTGATGGCAAGTGAATGATTATTTAGCCCAGCTGCCTATGCCCCTTCCCCCCACTTTCCTCATTGTGGCCAACACTGGTGTTAGTGTGGAAATTCTAGTGGATGACTACAATAAATGTCAGCTATGTAATAGATGCCCTTTCCCGCTTCATTCTCCCTTAGAGCAGTGCCCAGGGTTGGGAAATGCCAAGTAGCCAAACAAGCGTGAGAACTGAGATCTACATTTTTTTAACCAATCCCCCCATCTTACTTGAGAGTACAAATCAAAAAGAAAAAAACAGAGAAAGGAAAACATTAATGAACATATATCCATAGTTATGAATGTTATATATCAGGGATTGTGTGAAACAAAAACAAGCAATTGCTGAACTCACATTTTTTTAAAAAACTACAAGTTACCAACTAACAAAGATCACCACCTAGTGGCCCCAGCAAGATAACTGCACTTGAACAAGATGCATTGAAATTCAAAAATATTGGGGGTTTGTTGCAAGAACGTAAGGTAACATTGAAACACTGAAGCCTCTCCTTTTGTCCCTTGGATCCAACCTCTCCTTTTTCTTTCATTCTGAGTCAGTTTCTCTTAGTTTATGATTCTAGTTTGTCTTGAAAGCATTCTATTTGCAGTTACCTTTAATCTTTGCAATTAGCTACTTTGTCATCTTTTGAGTTCCTCATCTTTTATGATACACCACAAGCCCTTCTGAGTCTTGCCTGAAATAGTGGGTTTAAACATCATTTTTGTCATGCCACTTCCCTACAAAAAAAAAATTGAATGCTTACGTGGATCCTGTTGTCACTTATATCAAGCCTGGTCTAACCCGCATATCCCCACACTCCACTTTTGCAAACATAATGACTGCCCACTGGGTACTTTTCTTTATTGATGCTTCACCACACTCAAATCTCAAACACAACTGCCCTTTTTATCTATTTCTGAGTACTTTTATCAAACTCAAATTCCACCTTTTCATAACTTTTCCCCTACTACTCCTATCATGTTCACTTCCTTCTTCTCTAAGTTCTTACATTCATGGTTATTAACACCAAGTTTATGATTTAATTATTGTCTAATTGTTTTATAAGTATTATGTCTGCAAAGGAAGTTCCATGGTTTAAATGTGTCTATATCTGCCACAAATCTTAGCATGATATTAAACATAACACAAGAGCTCAAAGAATAAATGACTGATATAGAAATGGATAGATTAGAATTCCTGCAATTAAAGGACTTTTAGTTGTCTATGGGTAAGTGACAAGGAAAGAAGAAGGAGAGTACAGAGTGGGGAAAGATTGCTGGAACTATATTCCATGAGTGGAAAAAGATTAATTTTATCCACCTTTATTATGTAAAATGCCAGTGACAAATTGAAAAGTTATCTCCCAAAATGCCAGGATACATTTAAACATATTCCAAAACATATAGTATAATATAACCACGAAAGTTTTTAATGGAATATAGTTACTTTGGGTGCAGACAGTGAAAGGAGCTCACTCAGACAAAGAGAGGGAAAAACGGGGGAAAAAAGAAATTGTTATTAAACAGGTAATGAAATGTTAACTTGCATTCTAAGGTAGGACAAAGTTTTACTTCTTGGGCAGCAGCATAAAATCTGCTCCAGGGATGTGAATTACAGATACGTTAGGCAACTGCACACTGGAAATAGCAAGACTGGGAGAAAGTTCTATGCAATCAAACTTTGGCGTATAATTCAACCAACTTTGAATGTGAATGGAAATATTTTACCCCTAAAATGTGAATAATAAAACAAATAAAATATTAAATAATCTACTCAAATGAAGAAGTCTGCAGAATAAGTAATGTGAACTTGAAAAATCTCATTAAGTGTCACCAGAATTCTATTTCTAGTGCAACTGCAAGTAGTTTTATAACTAGGTCTCCAGTAAAATAATTAGACTATTTTAAGGGGTAGCAACTGACTCTATCTTGAGGAGAGGAAAGAAAATGCTTCTCCTATGTAAATTTTCCCCCAATTTTTCAAACTGACATTTTCAAAGGCATCATAGAAGGACAATTACTTCTATGCTGTATATATTGCTGTTTTACCATAAAAGAGCACTATGTATGCAAGGCACTGTGCAAGCTATGGTAGAGGTAAACAAAGAATGCAAATGGCCTGCATTATATCCTCAAGTATCTTACTAGGGTGAGAAGATCCACATGTATTCAATAGATAATAATTCTGTAATTAATTTTTAAGAAACTATACCACATATTATGCAGACAGCCTGAATTTTCATACTTCAACAAATACTGAAGGCCCACAATTAGAAAGATGTTATAAGATGTTTTGTGAGTACAAAGTAAATCCATTACTCAACTGGCCCTCAGCAACAGTGAGTATAATAAGAAATGGACAGCAGGTACCTCAATAAAGATGAAATTACTTGATGAAAGAAGTATAATCTGTGATTTATCTTAAAATGCAGGTGTGGTTTAAATATGCAGGGTTGCAGGGTATTAGAGAAAGCATTGGAGGCAGACTTATCACATACAAAGGCACTGAGTTGATAAAGCAAGGATGGGTGTGAGAACTTAGTTCATTCCTTTTAGTATGATGTATAGAAAATGTGACATGAAACAATAGGCAATGATGTTGGAAAGCTGACTTAGAACTAGAGTATGGAAGATATTAAATTCCAAGTTAAGAAATTTGGCTTTAATCTATCAAACTAAGAATCATCGAAATTTTTGAGCAGCTAAGACCATCATGGTTGTGCTTTGGAACAATTAGGTAGCAATGCATGAATTGGTCTTGAATAAGGAAGCATGGAGAATACATTAGTTTAGGAAAGAGGTAATGTTGGCGGAATGTATGGTAGTGACCGAGATAGAGTGGAAGGGACAATTCCAAAAGATCCTACACAGAAAAAAGAAAATTGACTGAGACTTGGTTGATTCAATTAAATATAAAGAGCTATCAAGGATGAACTCAAAACTAATGCCATTTAGAGAAACGAAGACCAAAAGAGGGTAAGGTTGGTGCCTCCGGGGATTGGACAACTTCAGTAAGACATATTTGCAGCTTGAAGTGCCTTTCAGAAGAAAATATCCAGCTGACAGTTAACAATATTAAACAATTGAGATGAAAGCTAAGTTGTGATTTGCAAACCATCAAGAGCCAGTATGAAAGAACTGAGCAAACTGAAATCTCAGAGCTTGTACAGGACAGCAAGGAGAGCCACCCTGATACCACAGAGGCCCAGTAGTGAAAACAGATCATGAGAAAATGTGACTAGGATCAGCTAGCTTCCCACATCCCCACCCTGCATTTGGTCCTCTTCAAATATGATAGGGATTTACACATTGGAGAATTTAAGCCAAGCAGTATAAAAATCTCCCAATAAGAAAGGTATAAGGAAAAAAACTCAGAAGAAAATGAGAAAATGTGTTCAGGGGATAAAAGAAAAAAACAAAGCCTGAAATTGATAACCTCAAAATAAAACAATATCTTTTATGAAATAAAAATCCAGATGCACTAAAAATGGACAAATCAATTTTTTACTCACTAAATAAATGTAAGGGACTATCTTAAAATGCAGAAATAAAAGAGGTTGATGGAAATAAAAGAAGGGAAAAAGTAAGATAGAGGTTCAATCATGGAAGTATAACATTAAGTAAACTAATAGGAGTCCCAAAAAGAAAATAAAGAGGGCAAAGGGATGAACAAAGAATAAAGACATTATTTTTAGAACTGAAGCTCATTAGTTTCCAGATGGAAAAGGCCATCAAGCACCCAGCCCAAGAGATGAAAAAAGGAACACTATCAAGAAATTTTAGTGAAAAAAGAACACAATAGCAATACACTTTCAAAATCTGAGAGAAAATGACTTTTAGTATATAATTATTAAATTAGTAATTAGGGAGGAGCGTGGATAGAAAAAAGGACATATTCAAAAAGGTGACATCTTAAAATTTTATTTCCCTTTTACACTCCTTTGATCCACCACTGAATGATATACCCCAGTCAATTGAGGGAGGAAACAAAAAAGGAGCAGGGTGAGATTGAAAAAATAAAAACTATTTCAACAAAAAGAGAACAAATGATACCTAAAGAACCACTGTCCCCTGGGTACACAAAACAACCTGTCCAGATATTGGGACAAGAGAATGAAGGACTCCTGAAAAAAGAACCCTTCGACAAAATAAATTAAATAAATAAATATTGCCAAATACGGATTTCTTCCAAATCTCCAATGGTAGTAGATTCTAGTTTATTGGGCTTTACCTTAATTTCAACCTTTCTGACTGGTTTTGACTTAGATGAAGCTCCTGAAAACAGTACATGTCTGGGCTTTGGTTTTTGTTTTTGTTTTTTGTTTTTTGTTTTTGAGACGGAGTCTGCACTCCACCCAGGCTGGAGTGCAGTGGCGCGATCTCGGTTCACTGCAAGCTCTGCCTCCTGGGTTCACGCCATTCTCCTGCCTCAGCCTCCCGAGTAGCTGGGACTACAGGCACCCGCCACCACGCCCAGCTAATTTTTTGTATTTTTAGTAGAGACGGGGTTTCACCATGGTCTTGATCTCCTGACCTCGTAATCCCCTTGCCTCGGCCTCCCAAAGTGCTGGGATTACAGGCGTGAGCCACCGCGCCCAGCCTGGGCTTTGGTTTTTTATCCGATGTAATAATTCGTGTCGTTTAGTTGATGAGAATAATTTGTTTACTTTTACTGAAAGCAGTGATATGTTTGCACTTACTTCCATTGTCTTTTCTCTGTTTCTATTCTTTTAGTGTTTAGCAAATGTATTTACCTCTAGACTTTCTAACAAATCCCTATTTGTTCTATTTTTTTCTTTACCTTCAAGTACTCCAAGATTACTCATTGAATTACTCATTGAATCCATCCTCTCATTTTGCTATTACCACCACTGCACTCCAGCCTGGGCAACAGAGTGAGAGTCAGTGTCAAAAAAAAAAAAAAAAAAGATAAGAATATTGGGAATAAAAAGGCAACTTATGTGAAAGAAGACATAAATTTGAGCCTGTTTCCCTTATATTTCTAAGTAATGGCTTGTCCTCCATGTTACAAATTCATAGCATGTTATGGCTTATCTATGTTGCCTTTTCTAGCCCACACACCCACACCCCACTTTTATGTTATTCCTGGTTCATTTACCTCTCAATGTTTTTGTCAAACTACTCTTTTTTTAATCCATCTAAATATATGTACAGTCTTTGAATTTATAAGGCTTTTCTAAATATACTACTAAAGCCAGCCAAAAACCACAAGAGAAAAGATCAGCTACTAAAAAAGCAGTAACTCAAATTACATAACTTTTCTATTGCACAAACTAACATGCTCTCATGTAAAATGCAAAATAGTCAATAAAGTTGAAACTTGGGCACACTAATTTGAAATCACATTCCACATACCCAGGAAGTTTAACCAGGTTAAACCACTCCCAGCAAAACATAATATATGAAACAAAAATATTTAAAGCTAGTAATGAGAAAATAATGATCAGCTTAAAAGCAATGAGAAATAGAATAATTGAGACTTTTCATTGGCAAAAATGAGGCTAGAAGACAATGAAGTAGTAATGAGAAAATAATTATCAATTTAAAATTTTATACCTAGCTAAGCTGACACTCCACGGTGAGGGCAAAGTAAATCAACTTCTACACATACAATAACTAAAAGAATTATTCAACAAGAATATAACTGATGCCGGGGGAAGGTGTGGTTTATATGAAACAATTATGAGCATAAAAATGATAAACTATGTCAATATAACAATTTAACTATTTTTATATAAAAATAACTAATTTTTATTTTTATAAATCAAAGCTAAACTAAAACTCTAGACTAGTGCTTCTCAAAGTATGATCATTTGATCTGCACCTGTGCATGAATTACTTGTTATTGATCTGCAGTACTTACAGAAACTGTGTGAAACTGTTTTAGATATTTGACTGCCTCAGTGTTACTGACTGAGGAAAAAACAAACTTTTACTACTGATAGTTTGAGATGTGTGTTTCTGGGTGGTAAAAGCAAAATGAGAGGATGGATTCAATGAGTAATTCAATGAGTAATCTTGGAGTACTTGAAGGTAAAGAAAAAAATAGAACAAATAGGGATTTTTAGAAAGTCTAGAGGTAGATACATTTGCTAAACACTAAAAGAATAGAAACAGAAAAAGACAATAGAAGTAAGTGCAAACATATCAGTGCTTTCAGTAAAAGTAAACAAATTATTATCATCAACTAAACGACACGAATTATTACATTGAAAAAAAAACCAAAGTCCAGACATGTACTGTTTTCAGGAGCTTCATCTAAGTTAAAACCAGTCAGAAAGGTTGAAATTAAGGTAAAGACCAATAAACCAGAAATCTACTATCATTGGAGATTTGGAAGAAATCCCATTTGGCAATATTTATTTATTTAATTTATTTTGTCGAAGGGTTCTTTTTTCAGGAGTCCTTCATTCTCTTGTCCCAATATCTGGACAGGTTGTTGTGTATACTCAGGAGACAGTGGTTCTTTAGATATCATTTGTTCTCTTTTTGTTGAAATAGTTTTTGTTTTTTCAATCTCACCCTTGTCCTTTTTTTTTTCCTCCCTCAATTGACTCAGGTATATCACTCAGTAGTGGATCAAAGGAGTATAAAAGTAAAATAAAATGTTAAGATGTCACCTTTTTAAATACGGCATACAGAGAGCATTAAATGTCACTGTGTATTAAAGATAATATAATAATCCCCAAGGCTCACCAAGAAAATAGTAAAGGAGCAAAATCTAGAAAACAACCCTCCTTGCATGGTGTTTTTCTTGCTACCTTTGTATTCCCAATATTCTTACTTTTTTTTTTTTTTTTTTTTTTTTGACACTGAGTCTCACTCTGTTGCTCAGGTTGGAGTGCAGTGGTGGGATCTCAGCTCACTGCAACCTCTGCCTCCCAGGTTCAAGCAATTCTCCTGCCTCAGCCTCCTGAGTAGCTGGGATTACAGGTATTTGAGACCAACCTGGCCAACATGGTGAAACCTCATCCCTACTAAAAACCCAATATTCTTACGTTCTATAATTTCTGAGGCTAGTTCTTAGCCAAATTGTGGAGAAGATGGGTATCATCATTCTTCCAGATGCCTTTTTCTGATGTACATTTTCCCCTTCAGTGGTGGCTTCCTATCACCATAAACTTTCTATCACCATAAACTTCCAGTGGCTCTCCTTCCCCTCATGCTATGATGCTTATTATTCAGTCATTTTTTTCTGTATTCCTGTCTATATCACTATATTCCTGCCACCAAACATGCAAGAACACACACACACACACACACACACACACACACACACACACTCTTACTTGAAAAACTTATTTTTGTTCACTTTTCCAGATCTGAAGCCCCATCCACTAGAAATCTCTGATTAACCAATTGTGGGGTGTGTTGTTTTCTCTTGAAAGTTTCCTATATTCTCACTAACACTGCATTTATCACAGAGTGCTAGAAGTTTGTTTTCTTATCCATTCACTAGCTAGACTATGAATTTCATGAGAGCTGAGGCCTAATCTGACTCTTTCATTGTTATCCTCAACGTGCTCTTTATGGCAGCATGACAAATATATAAGCAAACATGTAAGCAAATGGCAGAAATTTTCTCAAATGCAGAGAGAAGGAGATGAAAATGGTAATATAGTAACCTACAAGAAAATAATACTACACAGTTAAAACTTGGTGAAAGTCCTGTGAAGAAACCGATAAGAGACAAGTGGTCAGAATCTCGAGTTTAAAAACATACAAATTTCCAGATAATCATTCCAGTTAGCTCATTTAGAGCTTACTCATGTGTCTTCAGTCCTGCTGTCTTTATTCTGCACAATATTTCTTTTTTGGGGTAGAGTGGTGGGGACAGTTTCCCTTTGTTGTCCAGATTGGAGTGCAGTAGCACAATCCCAGCTCACTGCAGCCTCAACCTCCTGAACTCAAGCAATCCTCCCACCTCAGCCTCCCATGTAGCTGGGACTACAGGCACAAACCACCATGCCAGACTAATTTTTCATTTTTTGTAGAGATAGTGTTTCACCATATTGCTCAGGCTGGTTTCAAACTCCTGGGCTCAAGCGATTTGCCCACTTTGGCCTCCCAAAGTACTGGGATTATAGGCATGAGCCACTGCACTCAGCTTGCACTATATTTCTCAAAGACTTCATCTTCATTCCCTTTGCAGAATCTTTCTAGTTAAAATTTTCTATAAAGTAGTATACACACAAATTTATGTGACACTGTATGGATGAACTTTCCTTTTACTTTAATAGAATCTACATTAATGTGTATTAATACTAATTATATTTGGTACGTTTAAGACCCAAGATCTGATTTATGCTATTGCCTTATGTGCAGCAAATTTTTAAAAGTAAGTTGATTTATAAATAATTATTAAATATACAATCTAGTTGGAAAACAGATGTGACTGCATTTTCACATCATCTGTAAACTGAGCCAATATGTCATCAATGCCATCCATATGCTCATGGAAATAATGAATAAATATTTTAGACAGGATAGAAACCATGTGCCTTTGAACAGGGCACAAAGACCAGCCACTGTAGACTTCCTTCTGAGGTAATAGGAACCCACTAATTAGGACTAGTCTGTAAGACAGCTAAAATTCATTAACAATTCTATCATCCATAACATAGATCTTTACCTTGGTCACAAAGATATCATGAAAGTTTATATCTAGAATAGATTTCTCATTTACTAATTTAGTAACCTTACATATATTAGAAAAGCAAGTGTAATCATATTATGTTTTTATTATTTTGAACTAACTGCATACAAAATATTGCCTCATAGAAAGAGTCCTCAAAAATAAATAAGAAAATAAAGTAATGGTTTTAATTAGCACTGTCCACTGTCTATATTTAAACATTTTTTTCTAGCTAACATGAGTGTACTTGAAAAAAAATTGTTTCCTCAAGTATTGTTCCATCTTGTTTCTATCATCATCTCCACTCCCCTTAAAGAGTTTGCTAAGCAATGATAAAATTTAGATTAGCCTCTGCCCTAAGAGGTATCCATTGCAATAATGATTTACAGTATTAGTACCCTTGAGATATTAACGCACATTAAATATAAAGTGAATTGAGATGAGCTTTTCCCACAGGGGCACAATAAATAGTAAGATCCAGGTGCTTAATTATTGTTGCCACTTTCTGCACTCCTAAAAATTTTCCTTTGAAGTTTTACTCTTGCTATAATCATATTAGGTCATTATGCTTCACTTTATGCTCCAAAAGCCTGTAAAGCACATTTGATGGCGAGGTCAGAATGGTTGGCTTTTTTTCTTTCCATCATAAAGTATGCTGTTTCCCCTAGATCAGCAAAACATGCATAGCAGGTGATAAGATGTACTGCAGAGAAGCCAACGGCATCATTTTAAGGAATTAGTGCATAAAGTTGGCCTATAAGTCAAAGAAATGTATGTAATCAAAATTACTCATGGAAATCCCCTAACTCTACCATAAACCATATCCTTTAGTGTTGTTTATATGGCACTGTTCAAAAATGCTATTTCTTAATGTTTTCTTAAGGATTTGAACAAATTTCTGCTTCTTGGGTCTGGCATCAGGTAAAGTAGTTGGCTATTCAGGTCTACAGTGAATTTTTTTAAATATGCAAAAAAGATCAAAGCTTAGAATATTATCAGCTAAGTATAACTCTCGAAAAACTGAATATGCTCAAGGATCAGGTCTAATAAAGTTAATAATTTTTACAGCTTCATCAAAGGCAATCCTAAGTAAAGTTGGCATTGTTTTCTTTAACTGTGAGTGCATGGCAGTGAAGAATATAATGACTGACTAGCGGTTTGGTGCCACGGCCTTCATTCATAAAAAGGCACATGCAATTTATTCACCATTGCTTTTGCACAGTAAGTGCAAATATTCAAACTGTGAAAATGGAAAATAACATTTTAGCAATAAAATGTTTTAGGAGACACCTCGGGAACTATAGAACATTCTTTGAGAACTATAGCGTTAAAACAACTTTTAAACAAGCTATAGAATATTAGTTAGCTGGAAAAAAGTGAGAAATCTTTTCCTGAAATGGCAAAGCATCATTAAATTTTGTTGTGAATGTTTACAGTGAATATTTTAATTAATATGCATATAAAATTTCACCAATTGTGTTTTTTGTCTTTTATCTCATTTATCTGTCCTCTTTTCAATACATTGTCAACTTTGTAGCTTTGTTTCATTAATTTTTAAGCTTTTCTTCAAAACAGTTTTAAGACTACTTTAGAAAATAAATTATTACAGTGCTTAAAAAGAAAATAAATGTATGCAATAAAAGCTATCATCGATTTTTAAGTTGCTTATAATCTTTTCAGTTTTTGTCAATTTTCAAAAGTTACATAATGACAAAGAGTGATTTAATTTTTGTTTACCTCACAATACCTTATGTTTAGATTCTCGGCAACAAAACTACAAACGTGTTATGTACCAAACGAAAATAATTCTTTCCTTAATTAGAAAAGTCTGGCCAGGCACGGTGGTTCATGCCTGTAATCCCAGCACTTTGGGGGGCCAAGGCAGGCAGATGACTTGAGGCCAGGAGTTCGAGACCAGCTTGGCCAACAGGGTGAAACCCCATCTCTACTAAGAATACAAAAATTAGCCAGACGTGGTGGCGTGTGCCAGTATTCCCAGCTACACAGGGGACTGAGGAACCCCACAAAGTGGACATTGCAGTGAGCTGAGATCACGCCCCTGCACTCCAGCCTGGGTGACAGAACAAGACTCTGTCTCAGAAAAAAAAAAAAAAAGTAGGGGGATGGGGAAAAACATTCTTTGCCAATAAATGATTTCTGGGAAACATAATTTAATCATTTAAATTAAAGACTTTTCATGCCCCTCTTGTTGATTTCCCAAAAATGTAGCTTTTTTTTCCTGACTGAATTTTCTTTGAAATAATTAAAAGAAAAAGAAAATTTACCTCTTTACTTCTCATGTTCTTGTGTTATCTTTCAGAGCTTAACCTATGGTACTGTAGTAAACGCTAAAACTTTATGAATAGCAGCTTTTTAGATGCCTAAGACATCTTTAAGATTAGAGAGCGATGTTTATGAAGTAGAATACTATTGAATTAGTTAAGCAGGTAAAAGAGAAGAACAGGTCCTGAGCAGTAATAATGCAAAACAATAGCAACAACAAAAAAAAATTAGATCAACATAAGCTCCTGATGTGTAATCACTGACAGAAAAAGCTGGCAAACCAAGCCAAGAGATAGCAGGCCAGTCAATCCAGACTAAAAGCTTAAGCTAAAAATAACTGCCTCACTAGGTCTTTGTAGAAAAATTCTACATGCTAAGGATGTCAACTTAAATGTGTCTGGTTTATGAATAAGAATATTTAAGAACAAAGGCTGCATACATTAAAAGAAATAAAATTAATATAAAAGACTGAGTCAAGTAAATGATCTGTGTAAGTTCAGAAACTTTTAGATTAAATAGTTGAAAAGCTGTGAAACTAGAATGACAGCTTTTATCCTTTATCATATTTAAAGCAGGGTGTCTATGCTTGACTTCTGTTCTCATGCTAGATATAAAAAATAAGAATAAAAAGAAAGAGGGAAGGAAAAATGTATACCATATATTGCTGCTTCTAAATCAATTACACATTGTACACAAATTGAATCACCTCTTACTTAAAAGCTAATCAGAAACATTACTATGCACAGAAATGACCTGTTTTCCACCTAAATTCTAGTTCAAACCCTTCCCTTTGGGTCTCTGAAATTTTTTTTATTCACTTCTTTTTATTACTTTTACATATCAAGAGTAAATGTGGTTAGTTTTGAATCATTTATTTTGAAGGAAAAAATTACATGAAAACAGGTTAATAAGACTGTGAGCATTGCTATACGAAAAATTAGAAGTCTTCTTCGCCCTTTTTTGATAACTGCATTAAGTATATGAACCCAAATACTTTCTCTAATTATACACATCTTACAAATATGTTCATATTAATGGAAAACAAAAGGTATGCTATAGCTTTGTGGTAGAGTGGAAATAAATGCACCAATTATACTTAAAGTATTAAATAATGTTATAATACTGGCCTTTGAAACTAAAATAAATGTCTTATTTATAAAGCATCAGGAAAACCTCTTCAGCTCCTGCTCAAATACGTTGCACATTTGAATAATGCCAGTCTCTGTAGGACTTGATATTGGACTATGAATATTTGACCTAGAATATCATTAACAACTTATACATTTTAAAATCACATTTTGAAATGCGTCAAAACTAAGATTGTAGTGAATTTAATTTCAAAGTCATACTATCCCTCCTTTTATGCTGTATGTGGTAATCCTTGATTTTTTTGCACTGATGCTAAATGTTAATGAACAGAGCCACCGTGTACCATTTCACCTGGAGCAATGAAAACATTAAAATCTCTTTAGAAGCCTGAATAAAACTTTATTTTATAAATATAATCCATGTTAAAGCTCCACCGTTTCACTGTACTTTTGAAATAAGGGCACATGGAAAATATGGAAGCGTTTCCTTTGAGATAGCTAACTAAAGCTACAAAATGAGCACGGTACAGCATTTCCAAGGAACATGGTTCAAAAGTTGTACGATTACTACTAAGGTTGTTTTATTCTCTACCACATTTGGAACAGGAAGTCTGTGTTGTTCTTGAAGAATTCTGAAAAGCAATGTCACACTCTGATGACCTCTTCTCCTCATTAAAACGTTCCCAAAGACAGCGCTCTGCATGATGTTTTGTAGCTTCAGCAGCCATGAACTAATTTGTACCTCTTATTTTGATCATGCACTGGTGAAAGCACCAAACAATATTTTTCTTTAAACACAGAGAGGTCTTTCAACAGCTCAGCATGCACTTCTACCCTCTTTTTAATCTTGGAGCACCTATTTATTTGCTCTTTTCACCACTAAATCTTCTTTGCTCCTTTCTGCCCCCTGCAAAGTGGCTAGTTAAAAATCTTCAGTGTTTTTTCTTCATAGGCTTAAACCATTAAAAGGGTATTACCATAAAAGCAGAGATGAGGGCTTATAGATATAGTATGAGGAGAATTTGCATTTCTAATTTTTAATCCAATTAAACTAAGATAATATTTATTTAGTTACTACCTTTCTATAATGTGTATGATCACAAAAACTAATACAAAAAAATTGCTTTAGAAAATTAGCTTTTAGGGTTCTCTGCAAAGACTAGTTCCTCACAGTGAATATTAGAAGACTCTTTTTAAAGCTTATTTGTATGTATATAACTCATTTATTTTCCATACCTCTACACTTTCTTTGGTTCAATTACACCAATCCTTTCTATATGTTTCTCTATATCACCAAGAAGTATCTTGATTATTGTACTCAGTGTATAGGAATTTGGTTTTTAAGCCATGCATTTAATTTACTCAGAAAAAACAAAGGAGAGGGACTACAGTAAAATGACATTGGTAACGAATATGACTTTTTAGGCAGTAATATTATGAACTCTATTAATGAAAACAATTCGAAGCAATTTAATAATTCAAAAGTATTGTTTTAAAATGTATATTAATTAAAGTTACATAAAACTCAAATACGCATATCTGCTAAAATTGATTAAATTATACTAGATTTCATCAAGCCTATGGTACAGCTGTAAATAGAACATAGTGCTAAGATTTCAGGTCTAGTTAAGGAGAAATGTACCATTACATACTAATAAATAGATTCTTTCTTCATCATGAAATATTTATTCTCACAAAATGTATTTACTGAACACATTGGATTTCCCTTAAACAGCTTGAAGTTAATAATGTAAACATTTCACTATTAATAAATCATAGTATGTTTTCAATCTCAATAGAAAATTGAACATTAATATTAGGTTATTTATAATGTTAACTCATTGACTTTCAAATTTTGAAAAATCAGTTGATTCTTGAATACTGTCCTAAATAAAAATGCAAGTCATATGAATAATTTCTCAATTTATTTGTAAAGCTAAACATTTGTAAGAAAAGAAATGAAATAAGAGAAAGGTGTCATTTATGATGATATTATCAGTATTTAATTTTAGTGTCATTTAAGATTTTTTCAAAGTAAAATTAATTCAATTAATGTTATCAAAATAAATTATGTGACTTTTTAAAGCACCATATCTAATTCATTGATCCCTTTCACTATTCCAAATCTCTTCTCAATGAAGTAATTTTCAATGGCAAACTGGAATGTGTAAAAACTGTTAATTTCATATAATATTCCTCCAAATTTAATCAATATTTGCTGTTTAAAGTTGTTTCTTCTATAAATTTGTCTTTGGCTAATTTAATCCTAAAACTTTACCACATGTTCTGTTGTGTCTCTATCATATCTTAAACATCATTTCCTCATCATCATGGACTTCAGAGTGACCAGCAATTATCACATATTTTCTTGATGATCTTTTCCCCCAAGGTAAGAGACTCATCATGTTGTTTTTGTCTTTTAAAATAATTTTTAAAAAGCATCTGAGATATTCAATTCTAAGTTGTATTTATGTTTCTGTGTCTTTATGTTTGACAGGTCTAGTTTGAGACTTTACAAATGCTTACCAGTGGACTTCTAAATCCTCAAGGGAAAGAAATAAACACACACAGTGCCAGCTTTCTGGGGTCACCTTACTTGCAAAAGTGTTGCTTTTCGGCATTGTTTTAATAAACTCAGAGAGACTTGGATGTGAGTATAGGCCTTGACAGTGACTCTCTCGTAAACTTGAGCAGCTATTTTATGTCTTTGAGTCTTAACTTTCCAACTATGAATTGGGTTTAAGGATTCCATTCTACAAGTTATTAAGATGATTAGAAATGATATATGTGAAGATGATTAGGGTAGATGCTAACTGGTAGTTACTCTCTATTGAGAGTTTAACTGAATTCCCCCAAACATTAAGAAATTTACACACACTGCATCAACAGTGAAATTCTACTAGAAGGGTTCAAATGTCAAGAAACTTGGGCTTTTTAGTTCACAAGTCATCTTACCTTCCTATCAATTTATAAAATTTGAACTAAATACCTAAGACATTTTTATTGATAATCAACTTAAATGATACTTGTGAAAACCCTCTGTACAGTATAAAATAGTTTAGAAAATGAAAATATTAATAAATAAATAATTATAAATTTGAATATGAATATGAAATGAATATGAATAAAATAAATGAAAATAATCAAGAATTCTAGATTTCCAAACCAGAAGAAATGCGGTCATTTGTTTAACCATGCACTTTATATGTGAAAGTAAAGAGATTCACAATCTTTCCTCAGGTTATATACCTAGCCAAACACAACATTCATTTCTGCTACGTAAATCTGCCTCTCCAATGTTGATAATGAGATATTTTCCATCATGTACAGGATCTATTAAATTAAAAATCTGACACTGCTGCAATAAACTAAGTGTAATCAAATAAGATAAGCCATTATATTTATAATGAATTCAAAACAACAGATAACACTAAAATCAGGTGTTAGATGTACATGGTATTTTATCTTCACAGACAGTGCACTGATTTTCTGATTTTTTCATAAGCATGATATTATCTGAAAGTTAGGATCCTGTTTGGGTATACAGTTTAATGTTCCATTCTGACTTTTGTCCACTAGATGTCCCCAGTACGTCACACAGAAGCTCTGATCTCATATAGGCCCTTGTTAGGGAGAATCTGCATCTTTTTGAAGTGAGGCCTGAGATAACTCGGTCAAATGATTTTTATTCCTGAGTTCATTTCATCCCTAAAATTAACAAGCTACTAATCTACAGAGAAATGCAATCATTTAAAGATTTTTGTCTAAGAGACAGAATATAACTTTGCCAATTTAAGAAGCAATTAAAGAACATGTATATCTTCTTTTCTGAAATGCATTTAAGAAATCAAAGACCTGAAACAAGTTAAAAATCCTTAGAGAAAAAGTTCATAGCCTTGCAAAGGAAGACTCTTAACACAACTTTTAATTGTATTGATTTCAAAGGATGAATAACATTTACACAAAATAGTTCAGAAAACTTTGGTAACAGCAGGAGCCTTGTTTAATTTGAACTCTAATAAATTAAAGAAAAAAAGTAAAGGCTTGAGCGGTCACCCAACGTGTCCCCTCCTAACTCACACAAAAACCTCTGTAACAAAGGCTACGAGACTGAAATACAATAATAATTGCAACATGGGGATGTTCAATTAGAACTAAGCTTGCAAAATGCTGTCTTTTTTCCCCAAAAGCCCAGTGAGCCCATATTACAGGAGGCTTCTACCTCTGACTGAAAAATAACACTCTCTGGGGTTGCCGTGGCAGATTGCTGCACTAGAGGGCTAAGAATCTACTCTTCTAAAGCAATTCAATAAGGATTCCTACAAGGTGTCTCAAAATGGAAGCACTCAGGCAGCATGTTTCTGCCTCTCAGGGCAAGAGGTAAAAAGTTCAGCCTGTGAAGTAGAACAGTTTCTGCCCCAGAGCAAGAGAGAAAAAAAGTACAAGAGCGTTCTGATGAATTATCTCTTACTCAGAGCTAACACGGGCGTCCCAGGAACAATGGCCAAGTCTAACCAGAGTTGACAGCCTCCATTCACTGCCCAGCACTCCATCCCGCACAGTGTCAGAACAATGATCCATTCTCACCGCTTCTCAACCCGTCCTCAGCCTTTCAACAAACCTTCTCCGTTCAAGAGCCACTGCTTTATCATGCTTTCTTTGATTAAAGCTCACCTTTCATCACACTAGAATTTTATTGTTATTATTTATTGAGTGTGCCAAGAATGGAGGTAATGTAAAACAAAAAGTTTAAATCATTGAACCTTGCATTTATTTAGTTTATGATCAAGGTTAGGAAAGTAAACCAAATCTTAAGAAACAGAAAACAATTCTGTGATAAACTAAGGGATCCTGGCCAGAATTACTCTGGTAGTCCACAGAAGGAGATTATATTTGTGTCCTGGAGAAGAAAGGTTTGTAGAAGAGAGGGAGTTTGAGATAGGCCTTAAAGACTGGGAGAATTGAGAGAAAGAAGGTAGGCAAAAGGAGAGACCAGAAGATAAATCACCAGATGATGGTATGCAGATACACAAATGAGCATAGGATAAACAGAAGATAGAAAGAAACCAGCTGAACCTTGACCAGGCACTCAGGGCACTTGGACAGAAATGGGCATAACCCCCATGAGGCTGGATTGCAGATGTCCAAGAGACATAGATCCAAGGATAAACAAAGCAAAAGGGAGCACCATAGTGTTTTATGCTGGGGCATGATGCAATGGAAGGAATGTTCTAGAAATATCATCATAGCAGGTTAAGCATAGCAGATGAAGCAGGAGTGAAAAATTCTACCAGGAGAGGTGAAGGACTGTGAGGAAATCCATTCATTGGCTATTAAAACAATCTAAGGTTTCAGTAATAAAGGCCAAGACTGGAGGATTGACTTTTGGAATCTAGAAAGAGGCAACTCTGAGAAATAAAGCATGACATGATGGAAAATCAGATAAGTGAAAGAAATGAGTGGCTCTGGAAGAGGGTCTACTCTTTGTTTAGATTCCACAGTTTAACATTCTTCACGCAAGAATAGAGCCAATTTAATCTATGTGTTCTGTTTAGTATTCCACAGAATCAATAACATGCTTGAATAAATTTACCTTTTTTAATGACTCCATCTCATAAGGAGGAATTTTAGGCTCCAAAGACTACCTCAGCATCCTTGAGAGAGCCTAGTAGATCCTCTCCAAATCCTGAATTTCTGCTGACAAGAACTTTTATATAATTTCAAAGTATTACATCATTAAAACTAATAACAAAACAGATATGTGTATTATAAACTAAAACAATGATGTATTGGCAGTGTCTTACAACATATGCATGCCAATAACTACTTTAGATGTAATGCCTAAAGGAATATGAATAACACATACCCAGCCATAGAGGCTAAATGAGAAGTCAGGTTAAAACTATCTTCAATTTTTGCCTTCCCATTTAGAACCCTCATCTGACCCTCCACACTCTGTAGTGCATTATGTGCACTGTAGCATTTCATCATTCAGCAAATGTTTATAGGGCAACCATGATGAACTAACACATCCATGAGACATGAAATTCTATCTACTAGAGGTGACACAATGTATTTCCTCAAGGAATTTGCAATCTAGCAATCTTTCTGGGCTGTCAACAAATTTTCCCCACCATCCAGATATCAGCCATTTATCTATAATACAATTATTTTGTATAAAGTATCAAGCCCTCTAGGAGACTTGGAAAAAATTCTCTTATAATGTCTAGAAATTTACAATCATTGTAAATTACAGAGGTTTGTAAACAGATGCATACCTATTAAAATTTAATTAATAAGGCATGCTAAGTAAGTAAGTGCTGTAAGAGTTGTTTCAGAGGTTCACAGGAGGAATGTATCAGTAAGGCAGGATATAGCCAGTAAAAGTAAAAAATAAAAGACAATTATGATTCCAAATTTAAATTGCGTGAGCAATTTTAAATATCTAGAACTGTGAAAAGGAGCTGGAACAATTTAAATTAATATATTCTCATGATGTTAATGTCATAAATAATAAATAATCTTTATGGGGATTTTTCTAAATTTTTAATAATTTTTTAATAACTAAGTGAAAAAAGTTTCTGTTACAATGTTGTCTTGCAACAAACTATGGAACTACTCAAGTTATAATAGGTGTCTTTAGTCACCTTCTAAACAAGCCAACTCATTAATCTAAAAACATGCTCAGTACAACTGGACAAAGGTAAAACAGACAGAGTCCCTTGGGTATGATCATGTGTGCTTTGTTTTGTTTTTTCTTCTCAGCTTCTTTAGAAAAGAATGTTAATGACCACCATCCAAAGACCACTGGAAGCACAGAGGCAGTCAAAGTTAGATGTATTATTTGCTGAAGCAGGGGCCACCATATCCCATGAGGAGCTCTGAAGTTATCTCTGCAAAAAGGTGATATTGGGAGCAGGTAACAGAAGTTGGGTTTGTTTTACATGATTTTTAGGGAGGGCTCAAAGAAGGACTTAGCTATAGACTGAATGTTATCAAAAAGTAGGGCTAATTCAACAATTGGATATCAATAGTTTTCTAAGAAGCAGAAAAAACACAGTGAGTTTAAGGCTGCAATTGATAAATAGTCGCTCATGTTAACCAGGAGGGAAAGATATTTGGTCATTTTTGTGGTTTGCACATGGTCCTTGTTCAGATATTATTATGGTCTGGTTTGGGGTTTATCTCTTTTCATCATGATCACAGAGTGATATCACGAGATACTGGTGCCATTTAGGTTAAGCAAGAGAACACTGTGCCTTACTGTGAGTGCCAGGCTAGTAACCAGTGGGCAGCTGTCAGAGCAGCTCTTTTTCTTTCCCAAGTACAATTTTCTATGATGAAAAGATTACCTATACAGCTAGAAGAATGTACATCTTCAGAGGCCCAAGGGGTTCTCCATTTTCTTCACAACTCCCAAACAATTAGATTTACTATGAACTCCTCTGGTCTCTATGACATACGCTAGCCATAAACTCGTAGAGGATGAAACAAAATATAACGATCATTCATATTTGAAGTGATGGATTACTAAGAATACTGATAAGACTCGAGGTAGTGGACACATTTTAGGGAATCTATCTTTATTTTTCAGAATGTACTCCCACATACAGCTGGGTCCTACCAGCTACAATTGTACTGTATGACTCCCACCGCATTTGCAACAATTAAGTGCAGCAGAGGTAGACACCTGACCCTAGTTGAACCAATCAGATTCCTCCACCCAGATATTTGGAATTGAAACTTAGAGAAGTCAAATGAGTTCTGCATGCAGCTAAAATTGCCACAGGTTAACTTGTTGAGGGCTCTTCAGATGCTCTTAAGGTGCTTTTTCTCATGTGCCCAGAGGGTCAAAGAAAGCCAGGCTATGAAAAAAGAAAGGATCAGAAATACAGAGAGAAGCAGAGATGCAGACAGAGGAAGGATTCTAAAAATTTTCAGTTCCTGTTTCCAGTCTCTTCCTGAAGTCCATTCTTACCCTTGGATTTCCTGTATCTTTATAATAAATTCCCCATTTTTGTTAAAGCCAGCTCAAAAGTATTTGTTATTTATAACAAAAAAGTCCTAACTATCAATAATAAAAAATTGAATGCCTGGTATAAATGTAGCATAGACCACCGATTATTTATAGAACCCTCTGAGTTTTAGCTGAGTACCTGGTTGTTGAGGTAAAGCCTGCATTTCCCAGCCTCCCTTGCAGTTAGGCGTCACCCTGTGACTACGTTCAGTCTCACAGGATGTGAATGAAGGTCAGGCGTGCGACTTTGAAGTTATCTCCTTTAGACAAGAAGCCTGCCCTAAATTTCCTCTTTTACAACTCTCGCTAGCTGGATA